>NC_000020.11:5823910-5975425 GCF_000001405.40 Homo sapiens
TCTACCCAAACCCCAGCCACCATCTTCCACAACTCCTGCAGTAGCCTCGTACCTGGGCTCCAGTCCCATGCTTGCCCTCCTTGGTCTCCTTTCCAGCAGCAGCACCAGAATGTCACTTCCACCTGCTTAAAACCTTTCAGTGCGCTTAGGACACAATCCAAGCTGCTCCATCAGCTCTCTGGGCCCCACAGGATCTGGCTTCTCCCTGCCTGGCTGTGACTGCTTCTCCCACCTCTTCCCAGCCGCACTGGCCTTCTTTCTGGTCTTCACACATAAGCTCACTCCCACCTCCGGGATTTTGCACTTGCTGGTCCCTTAGTCTGGAATGTTCTTCCACTACAGCAAGACCTGTTCCCTCACTTTCTTCAGATCTCTGCTCAGATGTGACTTCCAAGAAGCCTTCTTGCCTTCCCCATCCAACCTGGGCCTCCATTCACCTCGCTCTCTATCCCCTTCCTCTATTTTATCTTTCATTATGGCATTTATCACTGCCTGTGGTTAAATTCCTTATTTATTTGTTTATTTTCTGTTTCACCACTGGAATATAAGCTCCACAGAGCAAGTAGCTTGTCTCTCTTGTTCACTCCTGTATCTCCAGCACCTAGAATAAGCCTGGCATACAGTAGCTGCTCAGGAAATTTGTGCAAAATGATGAATAATTAATTATTATTTCTCTTCTATGATCATTGAAGAGCTATGTTTTTGTTGTTGTTTGTTTTTTTTTTTTTTTTGGGACAAACCTGGCTCCCAACCTCAACTTCAGGAGATGAAGGTTGCATTTTTAAGGGAAAAAAATGTACCCAAGGAACAATTTGATGACAAAATCTCCAATTTTCTGTAACATGGATTGAAGTTTGTGTCTTCCCAGTTTTATTCGAAGATCCTAAAATTCATACTGCTTTTTCCAAATCCTAACATTTAGATTGTTTTTCAAATCTAAAGTTGTGGATGAATTCTTGTGACTTCTGTACGTACTTTGACTGCTACGGTCACTCGAAGCTTCCTTTTCAAAACCACAGGATGGCTTAGCTAAACCATGTCCTTTCCAAACTACTTTACTGAGTCCCTCCTGTTATACCCCAAAGAGAAGATGTACTCCTTTATTAGCAGTTGGAACCTGAAAGAATAAATAATTCAAAATAGATTCAGCCTTTGTTGGTTTCTATGACTATGAAGGTATGGAACATCATTCATTAACAAGTGTCGTCGGCTGACTGCCTTCTCTTGCACATAAAAAATGAGCATGCATATAATCGCAGCAACCTGCCTTTGCTGCAGAGTGAACAGCTTCAGAAATGGACCATTCTGTCTCATCCTGTCTTTACATATGTGGGACCCAGCATGAGGCTATTCAGAAACAACAGAATCAGGTCGAGGCCAGTCAATACAGTCGGTAGCTGTTATTGAATGCCCACTGGGTGGCTGCAGGCTCCTGGCTGACCACGTTTCTAAGAGCTGGTTAATGGAGTCCTCGTTACAGTCTTGGTTAAGCTAGCACATTTAACAGCCCGCAGTGCAAATGAAAAATACATAGGTCTGACTAGGGAGCATTTTCCCTTTCTGTCTTTTTCCGTAAAGAGAGGAAAGTGATTGCTCTGGAAGTTTCTGACATTAATAGCCATGTTGGCATGTGGCTGTAAGACAACCTGAGTTAAGATGGTGATATGCCACTTAAAATAACAAGGCCGGCACAGTGGCTCATGCCTGTAATCCCAGTGCTTTGGGAGGCCAAGGTGGGAGGCTGGGCTTAAGCCCAGGAGATCAAGGCTGTAGTGAGCTATGATTGTGCCATTGCGCTCCTGCCTGGGTGACAGAGCAGAACCCTGTCTCTAAAAGAAAAAAGTAATAGGGTGTGCTGTGCTATTGTTACATTTATAAACCACTCCTTATTTTCCAGAGCATGGTTGTTTTTATGATCTTATCTGCTGCAAGAGACCTTAAATGATATTGATCAATATTTTCCTGACAGTGTAAGTTTTCATTCTCAGAACTGAGTATTATGCAACTGACGACATGGGGAGTGGGGCTTGAATTTTCTGGACCACTCAGGGTTGGGATGTGAGTGCCACTGGAGAGCCCCTTGGCCCACAGGAAGGAAGGGCTGCACATGGGTATAGGGCCACACGGAGGTACTGTATGAGTGGTGGGAGGCCAGCTGGCATCAAGCACTGTTCTCTACCATCAGTGGGTGTGAATACGACTGCAGGTTATTTTTCTGTGCTGTTCAGGTTTTGCTTTTATTTCTCTTTTGTTGGTCTGATCAAGCTGTTTATTGTTTGCAGATGGTAACAAAATATAATTAAGTTGTTTGTTGTTGAAGCTCCTGTAGGAAAAAATTATCTAGTTTTATCAACTCTGTAACCACAGCCCTCCTTTTCCCATATTGAAATAGCTATTTATATGATTTTTTTATAATGTGAAGTTCTTAGGAACATAGTTATTATAGCAGAGCTAATTGTAATATGTTTGAATGCAAGGATCCAAATCATTGAGGATTACTGCCATTCTGATACCTGTACAAAATTATGCACTGTCAAAAAAAAAAAAAAGAAAAAGATTATGCATTGTCATTGAGGCAGTTTGTATAGGATAGCAAGATCTTCTCCAAGTGGCTTTCCTTTGACAGTCCTCACAGATGGCTTTCCTGTGAGTTGCCATCACAGTCCCTTGCCTCCCCCAACATCTCCAGCTCTGAAGTCCTCCTCCTTGACCTCAATCGGAGTAGTCAGTTCAGTGCAGTAGTTGAGAATATGACTCTGGTACCGGACTCTCCTGGGTTTGAATCTGAACTTCACCACTTACTAGTTTGGGATGTTGACCAAGTCACTTGGCCTCTCTGTGCCTCAGTTTCCTCATCTGTTAAATACGATGCCTCATACAGAATCTGCATGGGTTAAATGAATTCTGTGAAAGCCTGGGGAAGAGGGCCTGGCACGCATAGGTTTCACGTAAGTGCTGTGGTCTGTGGCTAGTCTGTCATCGCCCCTCCCTCATATCCCCCCCTTCACCACATCACCACCTACCATCCCCCAGTCCCCTCTTTCTCCCAGACCCTCCCTCTCTGCATTTGCCCCTAATGCCGTCAGTAGCCCCCACTCCCACCCCATTTCCTTGCTGCTTGACTGTATCAGCTCAAGTCCTGGTGGAGAAGAGATGAAACAGTCCAACCAGGTAAAGTGAGGAGAGCTTAATGAAGAGCTTATGTACAAAGGCATGAGTGGGCGTGGCACCCACAGGGAAAGCACAGAGCCTGGGGCCCGCCACCATGAGAGCGTGTGCTCGCAGCAGCTGTGTGGAGGGGCTGTCTTGATGCGAGCTGTGGGCCTGCTGGAGGGATGCCGCCAGCCCAGGAAGGGATCCAAGGATGTAAATAGTCCAACCTTGCCTCCTCCCTCCTTCCACCTCCTGCCAGGCCTCCTCTTGGCTCCCAACCCGAAGCTGGAGGGCAAGGGCAGCCATCAGCCATAGTCCACGTAGTCCGCCTCCCAAGGGCAGAGCAGGGTGGAGACGGGGAGAGCAGATATAGACCAGAGGTCAAGTGGAAGAGCTCTGCACAGTGCCCTATGGCACCCCCAGTCTGCAGCCCCCACCCAGCCTGGAGTCATGGGCCCCCGCAGTCTGGCCCACCTGCCTTCACCCACAGGCCCCCCATCTCTGTCCCCATACCCTCCTCCCCTGCCATTCTGCCAGTCTGCAGCCTGCTCACCAAATACACAATGACCTTTGCACTTCTTTTCAACTTTTCACACCTCTTCCCTTTCCCAGGAGTGCCTTTCCCTCCTAGGCCTGGAGAAATGCTATATAGTCTTAGGATCCAGCCTGAATCCCCTTGCTCTCTGCAGATTTCCCTTGCCTCCAGTTAGCTTCCCTTACGGCTGATTCGACACGTACTTCATTACAGTGCGTACTTCACTAGGGTGCACTTCATGCTGTGGTCTTGCCAGTTATTTGTGGACCACTTCCTCTATAGACCAGATCATTCACTCTTGTGGGTAGAAACTACACCATGGTCATCTCTGCATTCCTTTGTGGTACCTCCAAGTAGTTGAAATAAAAACAAGTGCTCAAAAAATTAGTTGCATTGAAATGACTGATGCAAAGATACGATGAATATCATTTACTTGGTTAAAGGTGGTGTTAGTTATAAAGAGTAGAGTCAGCATATTCAACACTGATTAACTATATTGCATGTTGTATGTAACCAAGTCACTCCCTAACTTGCCTCCCCCCAACATACATCTAGATTTAGTCACTGTCATCTCCTCTGGGGACACCCTTTGTGTCACTTATTAGAATTTATCTGTATAATTATTTATCCTGGGTTCTACCTCCTCTTCTAGATCTTTAACTCCGTAAGGGCAGGGGCCATATCTGTGCTAGTCATCACAGAGTCTCTAGACCTTAGAACAGTGTGATAGGTCTTTCATAGCTGTTTGTTGAATGAATAAATATGTTGGTCATAATACATTATAACATATCGTAACCTTAAAGGCCTGCAGAATGGGGACTCTAGGTGCCATGGAAGGGCCTATGAAGTTCCTTTCCATGCCCCTCAAACCATTTCCTGCTGCTGGAAGGAGTCATTTCTTGATGACTCCATTCCCACATCATTAGAGCAGCCACCCTTTCCACTTGCATGGAAGTAGGTCTTGTACCAAGAAGAACAAATTTCCTTTTCCTTCTGTCACCATAAGGAATATAGTAATATTGGGGGAATTATTCTTTTTCTGCAATTCTTTTGCTTCGCATTTCACTGTCCTTATTGTGCTGATTTGCAGTTTCTTAAATTGATGGTGCCAAGTAAAATATATTTGATTGTAGTTTGTACCATTTCAAATCGATTTAGTAATTTTGAAGATGTGTAATAGGCATTATCAGGTCTTAAAATTGAAAATTGGCATGATTTTATGTCATTTTATATCATTTCACTAATGTGATAGTCTAGCCAGATTCTATTATTATTGTCATTATTATTATTTTGAGATAGGATCTCTCTTTGTTACCCAGGCTGGAGTACAGTGGTGCAATGTTGGCTCACTGCAGCCTCAACATCCCCAGGCTCAGGTGATTCTCCCACCTCAGCCTCCTGAGTAGCCGAGACTACAGGCATGCACCACCATGCCTGGCTCATTTTTTGAATTATTTTTGTAGAGACAGAGTCTCACTATGTTGCCCAGGCTGGTCTCAACTCCTGGGCTCAATCTATCTGCCCGCCTTGGCCTCCCAAAGTGCTGGGATTACAGGTGTGAGCCATCATGCCCAGCCAGATTTTATTATTAATTAATGAGTTCAGGGAGTTCTTTTTAAAGGTCACAAATGATGTTTAATAACATGAAAAAAGATTATCTTTTGGAAACAGAAAGTAGCAACATAGCCTACAAGCCTTAATTTATTTAAGCCCTACTATTACTCACTAATCTTTTTATTTGAGGTTTAACATTCTGACCAATATGTTCTGGAAAGGAAATTAAACTCAACATTTGAGATAACAGAGCTCTTATGAAGCTTATATACTGGAGATATTGGAAAAAGATACTAATCTCCCTCTCCCCTCAAAAAGCAAGAAAGCAATTAGTCTGGAGGGACTGTCTAAATAGGATTGTCTAAAGGAAAACCTGCAAAAAAATTGGGCAGATGGTCTTTATAAACTTAGAGAAGATTAACTCCGCAGCCATGTTGTAACAGGTTTTTACGGATGCATTTGTTGCAAATTAATTGCCTCTTTTCGGCCTTAATAACCTAAATTTAAGTTTGGGGGTTTGCATAGAAGCAATTCAAAGCTCAATACTGTCATGTTTTTCATTAATTTACCAGTGAGTGGTTGGGTTTGTATGAATAATTTGATTTATTTTGAAGTTAAATGTAATTATAAGTTGTGTTTTGCTAGGCAGCTTGTCCTTTATAATAGAATTTGCCTTGAACTACAATATAATTTATTCTACCCTTCTTGGTTAACAGCCTCTTCTTTAGGAAAAAAAAACACAGGCAATATCTGTGAAGATAATATTTTTAAGGTAGATGCAATAGAATGGTTTGGGAGTCTTTCAGTCTTGGGTGATAGAAGATCAGATTTGGTACAGATCTGGTATAGAACCCCATCATTAGGACTAAAAGCAGGCAAAAGCAGAACTGGGCCCTCAGTTCTCAGATAAGCTGTTATACCTATTTGCAGTTTCTTCAAAAGTGAGCATACATAGACAGTTCTACTCCCAGGTAAGTACCTAAGAGAAATGCATCCGTATGTTCATGGAGAGACATGCACTGAAATAGTCACAGCAACACTCATAACGGCCCTAACTAGAAACTCTATACATGCCCTTTATCAGATAAATAAATGGTAGTGTGTTCACATCACGGAATACTATTCATCATTGAAAATGAACAAACTGCCACTGTATGCATATAAGGTTGAGTGAAAGAAGCCAGATAGCAAAGAGTACATACTGCATGATTCCATTTATATAAAGTATAAAAGACAAAGCAATGTGGCCAGATGCGGTGGCTCACGCCTGTACTCCCAGCACTTTGGGAGGCTGAGGTGGGCAGATCACCTAAGGTCGGGAGTTCTAGACCAGCCTGACCAACATGGACCAACATGACCAACCCTGTCTCTACTAAAAATACAAAATTAGCCAGGCGTAGTGGCACATGCCTGTAATCTCAGCTACTCAGGAGGCTGAGGCAGGAGAATTGCTTGAACCCAGGAGGCAGAGGTTGCAGTGAGCCGAGATTGCGCCATTGCACTCCAGCCTGGGCAACAAGAGTGAAACTCCGTCTTAAAAAAAAAAAAAAAAAAGCAATGTAGGTGTTAGAATGGTGGTAAGTCTTAGAAGGTAATAGTTGAAAGGAGGCAAAAGGAGGTCTTCTGGGGTTCTGGTGCTGTTCTGTTTCTTGATCTCAGTGCTGATTATACTGGGTATATTCAGTTTGTAAAAGTTAATAGAGCTTATGATTTAGTATACCATGAATATTATATACCATGATTTGTAACTCAGCTCCTCTTATTACCGCTTAAATTTTATTTATTTATTTAATTTTTTAGGGACTACATTATGCATTAGGCACTTTGATATACGCACGTTATAATTTAATAAAAAGTAAAAAAAAATCAGTTTGAAAATAAGGCATTGCAATAATTTAAGGAAGAGTTGGTCACCATCCTTCTGTGCTTCACCTCTAGGTGGGTGCTTCGTGCTGGCTTATGAGAAAAGGAACACCACAGCAGTGCAGACCATTGAAAATGACAGTGATCCAAGGTTAAAGGTCACACAAGTATTTAATTGTCTTTAAGCAGAACTTTATTACCTACCAAAAGAAACTGTTGAGATACTTCAGCCTAGCCATGGTCTTTTTGTGAAGAACCATAAGCATTTATCCAACTCCCCACCTCCTTTGGGGGTCAACTCAGGTTTCTTGGCTCAGTGAAGTCTTTATAGCACCTCTAGCTTCTGTTCTCTGTAAGCTGTAATTTACAGCCATCATCAAAAGAGCATAGTTTAGCGGTTAATACTACTTTACGTATTTTATTTCTTTTGAATATTCCTTGACCACAAGTTCGTTGAAGCCAACAGCCCACCTTTCATATCTCCATTCAGGAGATATGAAAGGCTGTGCTGTTGCTTACATTTCTGGAACCATGTGGTGACTGGCCGGCAAACATTTAATAAATACTGGACAAGTGATGGACTGTGGCCTTGAAGAAACAGGAAGATGAACAGAAGCCCTACCTGAGGCAGCAGCAAAGATTCGCTTTTAAGTGACAGTAGTTGTGTTGCTTCCCTGGAGTTGTCTCCATTTCAGTTGCCGAATCCCTTTGATCTCTCTCTCTCTCTCTCTCTCAATTTTCTTGTTTACATGTTCATTGTAGAAGATTAGGAAATGTGAAATGTGAAAAAAGCACAAAGAAGAAAAAGGTAAACACTCATAATCCTTCTACAGAGGGAAGCTCTTACTATTTTGTTGTATTTTTTTTTCTTCTTTGGCTTTTCCTATAATACATGTGCTTTCATGCTCTCTGCCCCGTGTTCCCCACCCTTTCTTTTCATTTCTTTCTTTGAAACGGAGCCTTGCTCTTTTGCCCAAGCTGGAATGCTGTGCAGCTGTCTTGGCAACCTCCGCCTACCTGCTTCAAGTGATCCTCCCACCTCAGCCTCGCAGGTAGCTGGGATTACAAGCGCGCACCACTGCGCCCAGCAAATTTTTGTATTTTCAATAGCGATGGGGTTTCACCATGTTGGCCAGGCTGGTCTCAAACTCCTGGCCTCAAGTGATCTGCCCACCTTGGCTTCCCAAAGTGCTGGGATTACAAGCATGAGCCTCTGCGCTGGGCCTCTCTTCATTTCTAGAGAATAATGGAAGTGAATCCAGGAGACAGACTTCTCCACATTGTTAAAAGCTCCTCGGGCAGAGTGGAACTGCACGTGTTGCCACTTTGATTTTCTTTACTCCAAATACAAAGGTGTAACTTGGATTAAGATCGGGGCTTTCACGTCTTGCTGGAAAATAGTAAGCCATAATTTGTAACTCAGCTCCTCTTATTCACCACTTAAATTTTATTTATTTAATTTTCTTTTTTAGAGACAGGATCTTGCTATGTTGCCTGGGTTGGTCTCAAACTCCTGGGCTCAAGTGATCCACCTGCCTCAGTCTCCTGAATAGCTGGGACTATAGGCATGTGTCATCACACCCAGCTACGGCTTAAATTTTTAAGATTAGTTTGGCTAGTATATACATTATGCTCCAAATCACGAAAAAAAAGTATTCTTCCGGGGTAAAACCATGCAGTCTACTAATATAATCATCCTCAGTCTCATCCTGAAAGCAGGGATCATACAAACCTGCTCAGCCTGCATGTGTACCCCTGAACTTAAAAGCTGGAAATCAAAATAATAAATAAATAAATAAATAAATAAATAAATAAATAAATAAATAAATAAATGGGGAAAAAAGCAGGTATCCAACATATTTTAGACCTTAAAATCCCATTAATCCTGGTCCTCTCCTGAGAATTATAACAGAAGATTTGCTTTTCCAGGTAGAGGGTATCTGAGCAGTTGTGCAAGGCTGTGCTGTTGCTTACATTTCTGGAACCATGCGGTGACTGGCCAGTGTTGCATGGCTGACGTGTCCTCCTTCTCCTGACCTGGAGCTCCTGGGCTGCTGTGCTCCTGGTGCATACACCATACAGTGCTAGTACTCTTGCTCTTTCCTCCTAAAAATAGACTCCTAAAACAGTCCTAAAATAGACTCCTCGGCTTCTCTCCTTTTTGACTTTTTTTCCACGAGACTCCTCTGAGCTTGTCCCCAGTTTTGCTTTAGACTCCTGAAATATTTATTTGTTTTTTAATATCTTAACTTTTATTTTAGGTTGAGGGGTACACGTGCAGGTTTATTATATAGGTAAACTCACAACTCGGGTTTGGTGTACAGATTATTTCGGACTTCCGAAATGTTGAAATAATACTCATTTAAATGAGGTTGTCCATTGGTAAGAAGAAAAATCACTCCTGCAACCCTGACAGACTGTTTCTCCTGACCTTTAAAAGACCTTAATGGGTACATTGTTTTGTTTGTTCCGCTCTGCCCTGGTTGAGGGCAATGTGACATTTGCATTATCTCTCTAGGCCTCTGCTTGATTATGTTGCTATAAATTACTGTCTGTCCTGAACAGAGTCCATCTAACTGAGTGTCCTGCTGCCTGTAGGAAGAGAGAGAGAGAGACAGAGACAGGGAGAAACAGAGAGAGAGAGAGACAGAGACAGGGAGAGACAGAGAGAGAGAGACAGAGACAGGGAGAAACACAGAGAGAGAGAAAATAGTTTTCTGGAAAAGAGAAAAGAAACATAATTTGGATTCATGTCTAGACAGAGATAGGGAGAAAAAGAGAGAGAAAGAGAGAGGGGGCAGGTGAGGGGCGGAATAGTTGTCCAGAAAAGAGAAAAGAAACATAATTTAGATTCACATCTTTGTCATTTCCATTTGCTCTAACGCTTAGCCTACATTCAGTTACCTAAAGTGGTCCTATAGCCCTCTCTTCTGGAACCCCATTCATCTCAGATAATACTTCTGTCATTGGCATTGAGGAGGTGAAACTTCAAGTGGTATTTACATTTGATTCCCTTCAGCTTTGTGACCCTTAGGATCCAGATATCTGCCTACTTTGTAGATGTGATATTTATGTTCTGCTGATTTTCAGTGAACAGTGCTCAATTTTGGGGAAAGCAGATCGGGAGCTACCATTCCTGTCTGAGCCTTCTCCTGGAGGCCGGGAGGGTGTCAGGACTTAGCAGGGAAAAGAGCTCCCTGCCTCCAGGAGAAAGGTTTATGGAAGAGTCTTCCTGCCTTCAGGAGTGGGTTCTCCTATCCTGTGAGTCCTTCTCTTCAAATATAACTTTTCCAAGTTAATTTTTTTGAATAGAGAAATTAGCATGTGTGACTTTTATGCAGAAGAACTTAGGAAAGAGATTATTTATATAATAATATAGGCAAAAAATGCTACAAACTCATCCAGCTGGGTTACATTCTAATTTGACCAATGAGCTGAGTCAAGTAGCATTCTTTTTTTGTTTTTTTAATTAAAAGTACTTGTCCTCAATGTGAAAAAACAATCTACAGAAGTACAGATGTTTGAGAAGAGTAATGGTAATGAAAACAGTAGTTAGTATTAATCAAGCTTAGTAGCACTTTGCCTGGATTGCCTCATCCCATCCTCTTACAGTTCTGTGGGCTAGATACTGTTGTGCAAAGGTCTTTGGTAAAGATCTGTTTGATGTTTTTCACCCTGTGTCTTAGTCTATTTGGGCTTCTATAACAAAATACTGTAGATTATGTGGCTTATAAGCAATAGAATATTATTTCTTACAGTTCTAGAGGCTGGGAAGTCCAAGATCAAGGTGCTAACAGATTCAGCATCTGGTGAAGACCACTTCCTGGTTCACAGAGGGCACCTTCTAGTTGTGCCTTTACATGGTGGAAGGGGCAGGGGGGCTTTCTGGGGTCTCCTTTATGAGTTCCATTCATGAGGACTCCTCCTTCATGACCTAATCATCTCCCAATGGCCCTATGTCTTAATACTATCACCTTGGAGGTTAGGATTTCAACATATGAATAGGGGAACACATTCAGATGATAGCAGGCTACCCTTCTCAAACTTATTAGAAAATGGAGTCCTTTTTTTTCATGGAAGCCCCACAACCATCCCTGAGAACATAGGTGGTATTCTGCAGACACAGTTTGGGAAATAAGAGAAGTCTACCTCTACACTGCTGGCTAGGGGTTGAGCTGGGAACAGACACATTTGCCTCCCCTTTGTACTATCTAGCTTTCCAGATTCTTCCCGCTAGTTGTGTTGATGGTGATTTGGGATTGTTCTTTCACATTCAAAGCTAGGGCTATACACTAATTCATTCATTCTCATTCACTAAAAAATATCTACCATCACACTGTGCCAGGAGACCATAGCTAGAACAGGGTCCCTGCCTCTGGGAAGTCCCCGTGCCATAAGAAAACAAACACAGATATTCAATGGGAGGTAAGACCTGCCAAGTACCATCTACTGAGCACTGCAGAAGCTGTGGTGGGGGCTGGCCAGCTCTACCTGGGGAACTGGGGAAGGCTTCCTAGGGGAGGGGATGGGCACAGCGTCCCCAGGGAGCACCAGGTGAAGAAAACTGGGAAGCAGAGAGTTGAGAATGTGTTTGGCAGCATGTGAGTGCCAGGGCTTTCAGCAGTGGGGGCTGGTGGAGGAGCACAGATGGCCTTTAAAGTCAACTCTGAGTCACTCTCTGAAATTACAGAAATTCAAAGAGAAGGATCTGGAAATCCTCCAACAAGTTATTTGACCTTCTGGTCTCTCAATAACCATTTGGTATCTAGCTGATAAATGGAAATTCTCTGCAAAATTGTGTTATACAGGAAAAGTTGCAGAAAAATTGTTAGAGAAAGAAAATCATTCTCCTGCCTTCACCTGTAAACCATAGAGCTCACATTTTTCCTAAGGGGCTTTATGCTAGCAACTTGCCCCTGGATTCTCCATTCATGCCTCAATCTACTAACATGACCGATCGGAGGTTAAATAAAACTTCCAAAGCAGGACCAGGAGTTATTCAGCTTCACTATGTAACAGTGGTTGAGATAGAAACTATTTTCTGTCTATTTTTTTTTCTCGTTGCCTTGACAACTGGTTGTTTTTTTTTTTTAAGCTTTTGATTTTTTTCAACAACATGAGCTGCTTCCTTTGGTTGAGCTGAGACATGTGTACAGATTTATATCTTATTCAGAGAGTCTCTAGTGTAAATGTTTACGAGATACCAATTTTTTATTTTTCAGAATCTTCAGTGTTGAACAGAGTAGATAATTGCACAAAACTGTTAGCCTGCCTGATTAACCAAACAAAGGCAAATCAGTAGTGATTTTCCATGTCTGATGTCAAATACTGTAAAAAATGATTCCAATTCATTTTTACACAATATCATGGAATATTTTAATATTTGGCTTTTTAATGTCCCTGACCAGGTCTGTGTGAAAGTTGTTTCCATATACCAGAAGTGCATGTCCTCCTTCCTGCACTCCCCCTTGCTCCCATGGCTCTAGCCACAGTGGCCTCTCATCCTTGCAAAGCTGTTCCCATCTCATGGCCTTTGCCATTTCCTCTGCCTGGAATCTGCCTACCCCGGATATTCGCATTGCCCGCTCCCTCCTTGCATTTATGTCTCTGATTCAATGCCACCTTCTCCTCCTGGACCTTCCTGTCTAAAACACCATCCTTACTTGTCACTGGCCAGTCAGGACGTGGGAGGATCCCTCTCTGGAAAAACAGTTCAGTCATCCTATATGAAACTCCCCAGACCATAAGCCCTACCCATAGCAAGAGCTTCCAATGAGCATTTTAATGCCTCACCCTTAGATTTGAACTCACAGCCAAAAATCACCAGCTATTTGAGGAAATCCCCTATTACAAAATATAGAGACCAAGACTGATAAATAAAGAACTTAAAAGAAACAGAGACAAGGATGGAGCAGGAGAAATCTGCAACAAAACAAAACAAACAAAAAAATGGAAAATGGGGCAATGGGGCAGAGGAAGGCATCCTAGAAATCATACAAGAAATATAGGAGTGGAACTGAGTGGGGCCCAGGTCAGCAGCTATGGAGCAAGCCTGGAGGGCAGCCAGGCCAACTGGAGCAATAGGACAGAAGATTCTCCGGGAGGGCTGGGGTCCTGAGGAGCTATCGCAACAGGCTACATGTGGAAATTTGTATTGAGAGGCTATTGGAGGGTATGGGTAAAATTAGGATACAGTTGACTCTTGAACAACAGAGGGGTTAGGAGTATTGGCCTCCCCTCCGCCCACCACCTGCAATAATTTTTGACTCTCCAAAACCTTTTTTTTCTTCCGCTTTTATTGTAAGCTCAGGGTTACCTGTGCAGGATGTGCAAGTTTGTTACATAGGTAAATGTGTGCCATGGTGGTTTGCTGCACACATCATCCCATCACCTAGGTGTTAAGCCCAGCGTCCATTAGCTGTTCTTCCTGATGCTCTCCCTCCCCCCACACACCCCCCACCTCCAACAGGCCCCGCTGTGTGTTGTTCCCCTCCATGTGCCCATGTGTTCTCATCATTCAGCTCCCACTTATAAGTGAGAACATGCGGTGTTTGGTTTTCTGTTCCTGCATTAGTTTGCTGAGGATAATGGCTTCCAGTTCTATCCATGTCCCTGCAAAGGACATGATCTCGTTCCTTTTTATGGCTGCACTGACTCCCCAAAACTTTAACTACTAACAGCCTGCTGTTGACCAGAAGCCTTACAGATCATATGAACAGTGGATTAACAACATAAATAGATTAGTATCTACATATGTTTTACACATTCATGACATACCTAATTTTTCTTATTTTTTTGATATTTTTAGGCTACGCAATTTGTCTGCAAGTTTTTTCAAATTGTTGCAAATCTCCAAAACATTTTCCAATATGTTTATTGAAAAGAATTCTCATATAAGTGGACCTGCACAGTTCAAACCTACCTTGTTCAAGGATCAGCTGTAGTTACAAAACAAAGCAGGCAAAGACGGAAAAAAAATACCTATTTACCACAGAAGCAATAACATTGTACAGTAAATGAAACGTAGTACATTTAGTAGCGATCAATCTTTGTATAGTTATGATAGTATAAACACTGAATATTGCTCTAATAAAAATTGGATATGAGCATATTTAGAGAATGGGGCAAGGGAAGCACCTGTGTATCTGTGCATATATGAGTTTGTGTGCATGTGTGTGCCTGAGACTTATATGCTTACCTGCTGTAATAGGATGTCAACACATAATGTCTAAAACTGATACATTATCATATATGAGCATATTAATTAGACATATAAAGATTTTAAAAGCCAAAAGGAATAGTAAGTTGGAGTGGTAGATTATGGGAAATGGAAAGGAGAATGGAAGGAATAGAAAACTTCTTTTTCATTGTAAGACTTTTAGTCTCATCTGACTTTTAAAAGCTATGAGTATATATTATGTAGATAAAAATAAAAATTAGTTATGAATTAAAAGATAAATTTTGGCAGGGTGCAGTGGCTCATGCCTGTAATCCCAACACTTTGGGAGGCCAAGGCAGGCAGATCACCTGAGGTCAGGAGTTCAAGACCAGCCTGACCAACATGGCAAAACCCCATCTCTACTAAAACTACAAAAATTAGCCAGGCATGGTGGCAGGTGCCTGTAATCCCAGCTACTCGGGAGGCTGAGGCAGGAGAATTGTTTGAGTCTGTGAGGTGGACGTTGCAGCGAGGCAGAGGTTGCAGTGAGCTGAGACGGCGCCACTGCACTCCAGCCTGGGTGACGGAGCGAGACTCTGTCTCAAAAATAAATAAAGAATTAAAAATAAAAGATAAATTTTAAGCAGCCCTGCTTCTGTGTACATGTCACTGATAGTTTGATGTGCATTTGATTAATATTAAATTTTGTCCAGCATGTGGCTGATGTCCTTGTCAGGCTCATGTGTTTAACTAAACCCATTTTAACTTGCTCCTGGAGTAATTAACTCAGACTCACCTTGCTGGAAGTCATGCTGAAGATATCTATCATTTCCTCCTACACCATGGAGATAGATTGGACTGTGGCTCATGCTAGTTGAGGTTGTATGCTTATTAGAAATGGAGTAGATGCATGTGATATTAAATTGAGCTCTTTAATTTCTTTAGATTTAATGACGTACCTTTGTCATGTACTTAATCTTCAGCAAATATTTACCCTTCCAAAACTGGCAGATTTGCATTTTACAACTTGTCATGTCAAATGAAATATTTTCTCTTTTCTTTGCCCCTAGAAGGATTTCTGCTCAAAATTATAATCTTTTAAAAAATAGCTGACACATTCTCCTTTGTGGGGAATATTCAACATTTCTATCCTGTGATTTGAAACTGACCCTTCTCACTTCTCTCCAGCTTTAGCCTATACATATTGATATATTTATTTTGGATACAGTTTAATGTTTTTATTCTTATATCTGGGTCATAGAGAGATGAATGGGTAAATGAAGAGATGGATGAATGGATAAATTAGATAGAAAGATAGATAGATAGATAGATAGATAGATAGATAGATAGATGATAGATAGACAGATAGACAGAAAAGCAGACCAAAGTATACCACAGATGTGTGGAAGTACATGTTCAGATAACAGAAAATACACTGCAAGCTTTAGTCTCAAGCTCCCTAGACCATAAAAGCTTATAGAATGGTCAGCTTTCCAAAGCAGAGGCTAAATAACTGTCATTCTGTTGCATCCAACATAGCTTCCCAAACTTTGTTGATGTAGGATTAGTAAGATGTTCCATTAGAAACTCCTAAAATAACTTCAGGATGCTTTTAAGTATTCTTTTCATTTGTGCCATGGAACTAATGTGAGGAGCTGGCAGTTGGAGGTGGTTATCGAAGCCTGGGAATGGATGTCTCCAGTCACTGTTTGGTGGAAGAACCTTTTTCAGGTTGTCCCTGCGCCCCCACAATACTTGAGAACACTTTCTAGACCAGAATAAAATGCTCAAGTAAATTAATGACATCTGTTTGCATTTTGAAGATGAGAAACTGTGAGACTTTTAATTCCTAGAGGTAATAGCAGGATAATTGAGTACAGTAAATTAGAAGTTGCTATTTATGAGCAAAAGTATGTATGACTAGAGACTTCATCCCCATGAGCTTGCCTGTTCACCATATTGTTATTTTCTTGCATGCTTTATTAGTCTTTGGAGCCATACTTCTTGAGTTTGAATCCTGGCTCTGCCACTTAACTAGCTAGCTGCATGCCTTTGAACAAGTTTCGTAATCTCTGTGCCTCAGTTTCATAATTTGTGAATCTGTTGATTAGTCCACTCAATACCTATTCCAATCCCCTTTTAGCTTGATTTTTTTTTTCATCTGACAGAGAATGGAAACTTTCCATTTCCAGAATCCCTCAAAGCTACTGTTCAGGGTTTGTTAACTAAATGCATTTCCATAAACCTTTGAATTCAGATCTAGATTGTGTGGGATGAGAGATGGGACATAGGACCTTCATTTTTTGCTGGTATGGATAGTGGCAGAGGCAGCATCGTTCTGGAACTAGTCGCTGTAGTGATAGCGTCCTGATTTAACAGTCAGCTTTTTTATTGGGAAGCTTCCAGTTGTTAGTTTGGAGCAACATCTGAACCGGCAGCTTCCTAATTCTTTAGGTTCTTAATAGTGATCAAGGCAACAGCCCCTTTGGCCGTTCATTTCTGCTGAATGGTTTAAGAAGTAATTCCTAAAAGCTAGGCCTAAAGTCCATTTCTGCAGCTCTCCTAACAATGATGTCAACTATGTGTTCCTTAATATGTCTTTTTGCTTGAAGCAGCCAAAGTGATTTATGTTGGTTGTAACTAAAAACCCAGAAGAATCAACTTACCTAATAGGGCTTTTGTGAGTTGTAATAAGGTAAGGCATTTAAAGTGCTTAGAACATTATCTGGATTGCTATTTCTTTTTTTTAATATTCTTAGGGCTTGTTCTGGCCTTAGTCAATGGAACACCTACAACCATAAATAAAAGATATTTATTAGTTTCTTTGTTCATTCATTCATTCATTTATTCATTCACTGAAACAAATATTTAGTGAATGTCTTGTCAAGGCATGTTTCAGTAGCCTTAGGATAGTGGTTACCAATTAGAACCATCTAGGAATCTTTTTGAAAAAACTTAATTTCTATGCCACATCCATAACTTACTGAAAATAGCGAGTGTGTGTGTGTGTGTGTGTGTGTGTGTGTGTGCACATGCATATGTATACATAAATATTTTTTTAATTGGAATACCATTTACATATAGTAAAGTACATAAATCTTATGTGTTACAGTTTGGTGAATTTTTATATATGTGGGTGTATACCCACATAACCACTACCTAGATCAAAATATAGAAAAACAGAAATTTGCATGAAAGATTTATTGTGTGCATGGGTGTTTTGGGGGCCCCATTAGGAGCTAAAGCTTCAAATGCATTTGAGGTTTTGCCACTTAGAGGTCAAAAAAATTTAGTCATCCAGAATGACCAGTATAATTAGGTTATTTTTCATTTCTTTTTCTTCTTCATAGCATCCTTCAAATTTGTATTCCTTTTTAGGTTTATGCATTTATATGTGAAATGAAATTTATGGAGAACCTTAGATAACAGAAAATTCTAAAATGTTAATAAGGCAGTAAATGTTATCAGTAATAACTCCATGACTCATAATTTCTGCCTCTGTTTATCTTATGATTGGCATAATTTATTGACTAAAAGTACATTTAACTGCTTTCTTGAAGCTTAAACAGCTTCTTTCTCATGATCTCTTCAAAGAGTGAATATCATGAAAGAGTAGAAATAATTATTTTCCCTTTTTTCCAAAAGAGTGTTTGGAATAGATATCTTTGTCTGTGGGCCAATGGCTGCACACTCAGTAGTGCAATGCAGAGGCTATTAGAGCAGCACGCATGAGCTGAGTTAGGAAGATAAAGTTACTTAAAAAGCAAATGGAAATAGTTGACTATGGAGAAAGAGAACATTGTCTACAAAACATTAATAGCCTTTACAATTTTTATAAAACCAACCTAGAACAACTTTGAAGTTGAATGATTTTGCATAACTGGCTTATTATGGAATGAAACTTTCAGAAACAAAATATAGAGTGGAGATGAACTGTATACTTTTAAGATGATCACGTGTGATTTGAGATCAGAGTCTAGCATTGGAATACTGTTTCAAGGATAGCTGGACTACCTTGGTGAATTAAATAGATGTGTCACTAAAGGAATAGAAAACCTTGAAATTGTATGTAGCTCCTTCCTCTACCTTCAGATAAAATTTCTGTACATCAGCCTAAGTGGTAAGAATATTGTCTATTTCAAGCACTTTTAGAAAATGAGCTTTGGATATAAGGGCAATCTGGGTATGACATTTATTATTTTGGTCGATCTGGCCAGTTAAGAGACTGATGTCTTAACTCCTTCACCATTGCCTGCACGTCCCTAAGTTGGTAATTATTTTCTTGGAACTTTGAAGGTCTTGTTTCATTGCCTTCTTGTTTACAGAACATTGTGATTAATAAATTTGAGGATTTGTGCTTTATCAGTTCTGAGAAATTCCCACCCATTAACTCGTTGTCTCATTGTGCATTGCCTTTCCTTCGTTCTCTCTGTTAGCTCTTTCTGAAATTCCAATTACATGCATGTTGGACCATCTCACTTTGACTTCCATATCTCTTATTTTTTTCTCTATCTCTCTCTCTATGCTAAATTGTAAGTAATATCTTCAACTCTGATTTCTATTTTCTAATTATCTTTCCACTGGACTCTAGTCTTGTTTTACCTATTTGCTGAGGTATAAATACCTATTACTATATTTTTTCTTTTTCTGTAATTTAACATTTTCTCATTGTGCTTTTTGTTTATTTTTCTCATTTACCTGTTCATTTTTTGTAGTCTCTTGTTCCTAACTCAAACTTTCAACTTCCCATTTTATTTCTTTAACATATTAAGCATATTTGCCTTATATCCTGATTGTGTTAACGCCAATATCTGAAGCCACCATGGGCCTTGTTTGCTGGCTCACTTTGCTTACTCCCACTCGGTAAAGGTAGATTTGTTTTTTCCCTGTGCATTTTGAGCTCATGTTCAATGGAACTCTGTGTGGACGGTTTCTTTTGGTGTTTGGTTGAAAGTACATCCCTCTAAGGTTTACGCTTGCTTTCACTAGACATATGAGGGCATGTCAGTCTGGAACCATATTAAAATAAATAGCTGGCTTAGAGGTTTTTAGACCACAAAAATAGTTTCAATTTGAGCACAAACACATGTGAGTTCTGGCTCATGATCAATTGTTTTTTTCTTTTTTTTTTTTCCTTTTATTTTCTTTTATCAGGTTAAATCTTGGGGCAGATATTTCTTTTTTTTCTCTCTCTCTCTACCCAGAGCCAAGGCCAAGACAAGTTTTTGTTTGTTTTGTTTTACTATAACCTTTTACAAGGCGTATTTTGTTCTCTAGTTCACTTTTTCTCTGGTGGCGTAACTTCAGGGCTCTCAGCTTTATGTGGTGATTTCTTGTTAAGCACCCCCACCTTGCCATGGCCCTAGGCTTTGTGTCCTGAACCCTGTGTGGACGTTGAAGCTGACATGCTAGGTCTAGACACCAGCTCAGGGTTTGCAGACCTCTCAGAACTTCTATTCTCATTTTGCTTTTGGTCTGTACAGGCTTTCCTTGCTTTGTTACCAGCTCAGTCAAACATTTTAAAAGATTTTTCAAAAATATTTTATCCAACAGTTTTAGATGTTTGGTAACAGGAAGGATTTTCAGAATATCTTGTCTACCATATTCTTTTGTCAAAAATAAGTAACTATTTCTGTGACCACACTAGAGGTATCCTCGCGAAGGTGGAAATTCAATTCCATGTATTCCTCACTTCTAGCCCTTAATAACTCATGTTAGAAAATTTCCCAACACAAATGCATCCCAAACCCATCTTTCTCTGTCACTTAGCCTCAGTTTTCACTTGTCTTCTGTCTATATTCCTTTTCTGCGTAAGTTGTATCACGCAAATTTTAGATTTTGTGGCTTTTTTCCAGTTTCTTTGAGTTTTCTGTGTTCTCCAATGTTATGTGCTTCAGGAGAGAAGGCTCAAAGCTTTGCTCTCCTTAAATTCAAGTGTAAATGGGAGGCATGGGTGTTGAGAGTGATCTCCTATAACTGATCTCATGGTGTTTCCTTCTTGTCTTGCCCGTTTAATTCAGCGCTGTGATTCTGACTCAGCCAGCAGTCATTCTGTGAACTCTAGATCTTCTCTGCCTATTTTCACAATTTTTTGTTTTATTTTTAATGCTGCCTGTTTCTCTTCTTCAGTGTATTTACTAACTCAAACTTTTCCTGAAGCTCTTTGCTTGATTAATAGCTGTCATCAACTTACAAAAACCACTGCCACCATCAGGCTCTCTGGAGGTTGAGTCATTTCAGTCCCACCCACATCCTGGTGCAGGTCCCCCTTAGAGGGATGTGTTTGGGGATGGCTGGAGGGCTCTACCAGCCTGGGCTTCTGTGTTTGACACTCCCACACACTGAGGCACCTGCTGTTTCTGCCCACACTAGGATCATGTTTACTTTGCAGAGGGTGCACCAGGGACCTCTGTATAATCATAGTCCTCCTGCTGTGAGATGGGTAATGTTCACTATGATTCATCCCTTCAACTCTAATGCCAGGATGGGGCAGTAGCTATTGGTAAGGCTGATGTTCCTTCCAGTTACAGTTACAAATAAATGCTTGTTTGTCTGGAGTTTCCTTTTGATATAATATCTATCACTGTGTAGTAGACATATATATATATATATATATATATATATATTTTTTTTTTTTTGAGACACAGTCTCACTCTGTCGCCTAGGCTGGAGTGTAGTAGTGCGATCTCGGTTCACTGCAACCTCCGCCTCCTGGGTTCAAATGATTCTTGTGCCTCAGCCTCCCGAGTAGCTGGGACTACAGGTGCACGCCACCATGCCTGGCTAATATTTTTTGTATTTTTAGTAGAGATGGGGTTTCACCACGTTGGCCAGGCTGGTCTCAAACTCCTGACCTCAGGTGATCCACCTGCCTCGGCCTCCCAAAATGGTGAGCTTACAGGCATGAGCCACCGTGCCCAGCCAGACATATATTAATAGAAGCATTCACTATTCACTTTGAAAAATCCCAGACGTTAAAGAACAAGTACCTTAATACTCTAACAACTCTGCTGTGGGTACTATTCTTGTTACTAAGGTACTAATTATAAAGTATCTTTTATTTATTGAGCACTTAGCATGTGCTGGGCTTCCTGCTAATAAATCATTTAATCCTTACAAGAGCCCTATGAGGTAGGAGCTGTTACTAACCCCATCTTATAGATGAGGACATGGAGATTCAGAGATGTGAAGTAACTTGCCCAGGATCTCATAGCCAGTAAAGGACTTGCTAGGACTCAAACTCAAGGCTTCTTCCCAAGTCCATGCTCACAGACATCTCTTCTCTTAGGACAAAACCAGATTTCTGATCTATGGCAATGAACTTTTGCAAAGGCCAGAACTTAAGTCTACCTTACAAGGTAACATATTTGAAAGTAAAACTGTGTTGCCTGCATTGCACAGAACTGATGTTAGAATACCTTTGCGAAAACTGCTTTGAGAACCAGCATGTGTAACATAAGAAAATCAATTTTCTTTTGTAGACAAACCTTGCCTTTCACCCCAGGCCATGTTATCCTGCTTGATCACCTACATTATTTACAGATTTCACTCCTCATGCCTCTTAACAGTTTCTAAAAAGGAGATTCTGTCCCCTGAGGATGGAGATTTGTCACCAATGAGGACATTCATAAGAAGCTTCCAGAGGGAGTGAAGATGACTCCTAAGGGGCTCCAACAGGTTCTCAGCGATGTCATTTTACAAATAAGAGCTCGGCCCTTGGGGTGATTACTTTAAAGGGGAAGTGCTCGGCTGTATCAGTACATTCTAGTGTGTTTGTTTACAATCCATTCTCTGACTTCATAGATATACTTAATGTCGACTTGATATGGAATGAAATCTGTTTACAAAAATCCACATCTAACAAAACTTCTATGGCATATGGAAAAACGCCAGACTTTCCTCATCTATTACAGATGTTACCTTCTCTGGGAAAGGCTTATTGCAAATGTCAACACTGAAACTGGCTCTGTTTTGATAGAAATCTTGTTCTGTTTCTCTTTAAATCTAAGAACTACCAAATATTGACTTGTTGATTTGGACAGATTGTGGGAGGCCCACAATCTCCTCTTGAAGGAAAAAGGATCAGGTTTCTGCTTCCCCAGGAAACGGGGAATTATCTCTCTGCTGAATATGTATGTATCAAGCAACCCTCTGGTGTCATTTTTAAAGTGCTTATATTTTTCTTACGCGTAAGGTTGACGTTTGAAGCATCATCTTAATTAGCTGCTCACATTTAATGTGACTTGGCCGCAGTAAACAGTCGTAATCAAAATAGCAATGTTGCCATAGCAACCAAGATCCAACTCAATTGCTTTTCCTTTCTACTCACAAGTGCTGCTTACCATCTAGGCAAGGATATGAAACAAATCTACTGAAACCTCGTGTGTGAAATGAAAGTTTAAAAACCACTGGGGAAAAACATCCCTGAATGATTGTTTTAAGTGTTTCAGTGAAGCTCCTGGCTCCAAATGGCTCCTGAAGGAAATTGCCTCCCTGGTTCTCTTGTCTGACAGCTTTGCCTCCTGAGAGCTGTTCCCCACACGTGGACGGGATCGGGGGAACCATAGATTTATTCCAGCTGAAGCTGCAAGGTCCAGAAAGTGGGAGAGTTGATCCAGATAATTCCCCATGGCTTTTCTAGCTATAAAGTGTTAGGTTCCGATCCTTTAACTTGGTTATTTCTTTATTGCAAAATGCAAAACCACGCTGTTTTAAAACAAGCCTCGGGGTAAGCCTCAGTTTCATGGAAAAGAAGACAGAGGATTATTAATCATTTTTATGCTGTAAGCCGGTAGTTCCTAAATTTTTATTATCTGAATCCTTTAGGGAAGCCCTCGAACTCCCCTGCTCGGCCCATCATCACCAGCACTTGTTCTAATGACGTCAAATGATAGCCATATGAAGATCATATTAGGGTTTTTTTTTTCTTTGTTGTTAATTATTGCATATCTTGGTATGAAGATCATATTAATGAAGAAAATTAATGAGCAGATAGACCTTTTCTGTGTTCTAATTGCCAACCCCTTCTTCCAGTGATCCTGGAGACTTGGTCTTGGTCTCAATTTTCTCATCTGGAAAATAAGACACAGTAGAGCTGGATATTTTCCCTGCTCTTGGATCCAGCTTGGTACATGACTTCTTTATTAAATAGAATAGAAAACCAGTATCACCTTTGGTAGTGATAAGCCGATGCCGTGAGGGTTGTTTTGCTTGAGAAAACAAAAACAAACCCTGTGGCTTCTCCGGAGGTCCTTGTTTCACCCTCACCTTCTTTTTATCGCTTTCCATGTAAGAGACGGAAATAATCTAATTGTGAGATTAATCAGAGAAATCAGACAAAAATGTTTTCTGTGTAATTCATTTTGTATGCCATTAAAAAGAAATAAGATAAAAAGAGAGAGTGAAAAAAAGTAGGAACATGGTCAATAATATGAATAAGCAGTTCACAGAAAAGGAAACACAAGTGGCCCCTAACTGTATGAAAAGCAGCTCCGCCATAGAAGTTGTCAGGGAAATGGAAACCCAAATTGGAGATACAACTTTAGTGTCTGACAATATCAGAATTTGGCAAAGATGTGGAGAAACAGGAAAACCCAAACACTGCTGGTGGGGGTGTGATTGTTATTCTACAACCATTTTGGAGAGCAATTTGGCAGGATCTAGTCAAGTCGAAAATGCACATTCCCTTCGATTCCATAATTCTCCTTTTGGATGTATTTCCGGAGAAAGTCTCCTGATACATGTGCACAAGGCGGTATTTATCAGGAGGTTCACTGAGGCCTTATTTGTGATAGTGAAAATTAAATATAGCCTACCTGTCTATCAGAAAAGAATGGATGAAAAATAATGTAGCATGTTCCTATATTAGAATACTATAGAGCAGTTTTACATAATCAGCAATGGCTAAAAGTAAAACATCATAAAGTAGCATGCAAAACTTTGTATTTTGAAAACAAAATGCAAAACTTTGCATATTGAAAGTTAAAATGACTACCACACACAAAGCAACACTCTTGCATATGGATACATATATATGTGTGTGTATGTGTGTATATATTTATATGGTATCAAAAATGGGCTGAGGGCTGGGCATGGTGGCTCATGCCTGTAATCCCAGCACTTTGGGAGGCCGAGGCGGGCAGATCACTTGAGGCCAGGAGTTTGAGAACAGCCTGGCCAACATGGCAAAATCCCCTCTCTACTGAAAATACAAAAATTAGCTGGATGCCAGCTACTAGGGTGGCTGAGGCACAAGAATCACTTGAACCCGGGAGGCAGAGATTGCAATGAGCCAAGATTAATTTTTAAAAAGTTGGGGAGGGGCTTTTGGTCAATGTCAAAACCACAACTACTTTTGCACCAACCTATAATATCTGTGAAGAAACAGTCAGCTTTAAGTGTTTCATAAGAAGAAAGTTTTGAAGCAAATAGGACAATGTGTTCATTGCCAATTTGGGGTGGTGTGAGCTTGGATGTTACAGTTCTCTGTTAATTTTTCAAGAAAAATATAAAATGCCAAAGTAGAAGATTGCTTACAAATCAGAACATTGGTCTTATTAAATTGCCCTGGCGCCTACTTTTAGGACTATTTACTAAACACACCTGTCTTTGTTTTTTTTCCGGCATTCATTTTATTCCTCCGTGGTGGCCTCTTAGAGGACCGCGTCCTCTGCTCATGGCATCTGTGTGTCATTAGGATGAAGGGTGATAGCATATGCCACTTTCCCTCTGAGTGATTCATCCAGTTTGAACTTTCAGATATAAACAAGTACAGAGACTGTGGTTTCAAAAGCACCTGACCAAACCATCCATCCCTTTGAAATGTTAATTTGTATTAAATATCTTGATATCCACACACTCTCACTTTGTGAGGATGTGGTTTTGTCCTTTAAAGGAACAGTTGCAAATTCTAAAATATATGAATCGTGGAAGGCAGGGTTGCTATTAGGAAAAAGGAAGCTTAAGTTTATTGTTTTTCTGTAACTAATTTTATGTAACTAATAAGATAGGATGTAAGGTGCCCTAGAACTCCAACCCTGGTGTTACGACGCAGCAGGGAAAAGCCAGACTAAACCAGAAAGAGAACTCCAGCGAGGTGCCGATGGTTCAGAGTGAATCAGGGCCAATTCACTTGCTGGACAGTAACCAAAAGGTTTGTACAGCTAGGAAGTGGGAGAAATGCCAGTGGTGAAAACAGGGAAAAGGAAAGGAGGATTGGCTTGGAGTGTCATAGGACAAATCCGTGGAGGTTTAGCCAAAAACAAAAGTCTGTAGACACCTTATTGTTTATAACATGGACTGGGATGATTTCCAGCATCAAATCTCAGCCCTCTGGGACATAACTGTGTGGTAGGAACTTTCCACTGTTAACCCAGGTATATCAGCCCCACTCCTCCAGCACCAGGTTGCATAATGTGTCATAATACATGTATACATGTAATGAATTGTGTGATCAAGGGCCCTCTAGAAAATGAAAAGGGGTGCCATTAATAATTCATTGAGGGGCCGGGCGCGGTGGCTCACGCCTGTAATCCCAGCACTTTGGGAGGCCGAGGCGGGTGGATCATGAGGTCAGGAGATCGAGACCATCCTGGCTAACAAGGTGAAACCCCGTCTCTACTAAAAATACAAAAAATTAGCCGGGCGCGGTGGCGGGCGCCTGTAGTCCCAGCTACTCGGGAGGCTGAGGCAGGAGAATGGCGTGAACCCGGGAAGCGGAGCTTGCAGTGAGCCGAGATTCCGCCACTGCAGTCCGCAGTCCGGCCTGGGCGACAGAGCGAGACTCCGTCTCAAAAAAAAAAAAAAAAAAAAAAAATTCATTGAGGCTAGGGTGATGGCTTATGCCTGTAATCTCAGCACTTTGGGAGGCCGGAGCAGGAGGATCACCTGAGCCCAGGAATTCAAGACCAGCCTGGGCAACACAGCAAGACCCCGTCTCAATAATAATAATAATAATAATAATAATAATAATAATAATTAACTGAGACAACAGGCCTAAACCAGGACTGTCCTGGGCAAACTTTCCAGTCACTCTATTGAGTACCAGTCCCTCTAGTAAGAGCACACGTTTATGGAAAGGAATGCCTGAAGTTGAAAGGTTAGCAGAAGTGTTTACCTGGCTTCTTAGTCTAGCCCCCACGCCCTCCAGAGCCTAACCCCATTTCTTCCTCTCTTGTAAGGATTCTCTGCACCTTCCAGACCACCTCTCACTAGGCTCTTGGGCATTCTCATGTCTGCACCTAGCACTGGGCTTCCCCTCCCTGAAGTAACTTTCTTCCTCGACCTGGTCTGTCTGAGGATGACTTGCCTTCCCAGTTCCAGCTTTTTTTAGTTTTAATTTTTTTTTTTTTTTTTGAGATGGAGTCTTGCTCTGTCGCCCAAGTGGGAGTGCAGTGGTGTGATCTCGGCTCACTGCAACCTCCACCTCCCGGGTTCAAGCAATTCTCCTGCCTCAGCCTCCCGAGTAGCTGGGATTACAGGTGTGTGCCACCACACCCAGCTAATTTTTGTATTTTTAGTAGAGACGAGGGTTTCACCATGTTGGCCAGACTGGTCTCTAACTCCTGACCTCGCGATCTTCTTGCCTGGGCCTCCCAAAGTGCTGGGATTACAGGCATGAGCCAACGCACCTGGCGCCCAGTCCCAGCTTTACTTCTCATCCGGCTTTACTCTGCATTGCCTCCTGGAACTTGGCCATCCTTCACTGAGCTGAACCTGTGCCTTGGCTGGTCGATGCTCCATAATTATTGAGTATGAAAGGGAGGGACAAGTGGGCCACTTTGGAAGGCTGGTCCTTGCTTCTTTGCAGGAGTGGTCTCCAGGGGCAGCTGGCCAAGGAGGACAATACAGCACACAGACCAACTAGTATGGACGTCTCATGCTCTCTAACAGTGGGGGACATTGTAGCACAGCACAAATCAACATGGCTGCCATCCGAATGCCACCTGATCTCTGGGAGCTTCAACACAAATCTTCAGGAAAGATTATTGGAACCAAAGCTTTCTTAAACCACAACTATAAAGAATGTCTATCCAGGAATGGTGGCTCATATTTGTAATCTCAGCTACTTGGGAGCCTGAGGCCAGAGGATCACTTAAGCCCAGGAGTTTGAGACCAGCCTGACCAACATGGTGAGACCCCATCTCTACAAAAAATTTTTAAATATTAGCTGGGCATCATGGTGGTGCATGCCTGCAGTTCTAGCTACTCAGGAGGCTGAGGTGGGAGGATCCCTTGAACCTAGGACTTCGAGGCTACAGTGATCTATGATCATGCCACTCTGCTCTAGCTTAGGTAACAGAGTGAGACCCCTGTCTCCTTAAAAAAAAAAAAAAGAAAAGAGAAGTCTACACCAGCCGTTGTCCAATAAAAATATTATGTGAGTAACATAGGTCATTTTAAATGTTCTAGTAGCTATAGTTTAAAACATAAAACAAAAAAGAAGAAAAAATAAAAACCTAAACTATTAATTTTAATAATATGTTTTATCTAACTCAATATATCCAACATATTTTCATTTTAACATGTAATTGACATTTTTAAATTACTGAGATATATATTTGATATCGTTTGGATGTCTGTCCCGTCTAAATCTCATGTTGAAATGTAATCCCCAGTGTTGGAAGATGGGGCCTGGTGGCGGGGGGGCATTTTTAAATTTTTAATTAAATTTTAATTTAATTAAAATTAAATTAATTAACATCTTTAGGAAATATCCCTGAGTAGTATTGTGTTTGGGCCATGAGGGTGGATCCCTCATGGCTTGGTGCTGTCCTCGAAATAGTGAGTGAGTTCTCATGAGACCTGGCTGTTGAAGAGTGTAGCGTCTCACACCCCACTCTCTCTCTTGCTCCTACTTTGGCTGTGTGACATGCCTGCTCCAGCTTCACCTTCCACCATTAATAAAAGCTCCCTGAGGCCTCCTTAGAAGCCTAGCAGATGCCAGCGCCATGCTTGTACAGCCTGCAGAACTATGAGCCAATTAAACCTCTTTTCTTTATAAATTACTCAATCTCAGGTATTTATTTATAGCAACACAAGAACGGACTAATACAATATTATTTTTTCATCCTAAGTTTTTGAAGTCTGGTGTGATTTTCTGCTTATGGATCCATTCAGACTGGCTACATTTCAAGTGCCCAGTGCTACATATGGCTAGTGGCTGACTGCTGTATTGGACAGTACAGATCTAGATGCATTATGTTGCTCAAATCACCTTCCTTTCCTTCCTTCCTTTCCCTCCCTTCCTTCCTTCCTTCCTTCCTTCCTTCTCTCTCTCTCTCTGTCTTTCTTTCTTTCTTTTGAGACAGAGTATTGCCCTGTCACCCAGGCTGAAGTGCAGTGGTGTGATCTGCAACCTCCACCTCCTGGGTTCAAGACAGTCTCCTGCCTCAGCCTCCTGAGTAGCTGGGATTACAGGCATATGCCACCACTCCCGGCTAACTTTTGTATTTTTAGTAGAGACGGGGTTTTGCCATGTTGGCCAGGCTGGTCTCTAACTCCTGACCTCAAGTGATCCGCCTGCCTCAGCCTCCCAAAGTGCTGGGATTACAGGCGTGAGCCACTGCATCTGGCCTCAAATCACTTTCATTAGAGTGTGTAGACTTCCTTACTTTTATTGCTATTATAAAGTTTTTTAAAAAAATCCTTGAACTATGTCAGTCTTTAGGAAATATCCCCGAGTATTATGTGTGTTGGGACTAGAGAGGAGTTTGGCTACTCATACTTTTAACTTTTGTTGCTTGTGTTTCTCATTCAGAAGTGGTTACCTTTGTTTCATTCATTTGTTTATTCATTCCACAAATGTACCAAGTTCCTGGGCTCTGGAATTATTAAACATACAGGAAAGAGGTCTATTGTGTATTAAAGGTTTATTATGCCTATGAAAATAAAACTCATCAAATAAAAACATCCAAATTTTTAAATATACTGGGTATCTACCATGTGCCAGACACTGTGTTAGGCCCTGGGGAAACAGCAGGTAACAAGAGAGACAAAAATCCTTGAGTGGGAGAAGATAGAAAATAAACAAATGGTCGGGCATGGTGGCTCACTTGAGGTCAGGAGTTCAAGACCAGCCTGGCCAACATGGCGAAACCCCATCTCTACTAAAAATACAAAAATTAGCTGGGTGTGATGGTGCACGCCTGCAGTCCCAGCTACTCGGGAGGCTGAGGCAGGAGAATCGCTTGAACCTGGGAGGCAGAGTTTGCAGTCAGCCAAGATCGCGCCACTGCACTCCAGCCTGAGCGACAGATCGAGACTCCATCTCAAAAATAAATAAATAAATAATAAACAAATCGTGTGTGTGTGTGTATTTAGGTGATATTAGGTTTGTTGTTTTTCATTCAAGACCTTTTATGAAAATAGTTACAAGGCCACGGTTATCTGTTTTTTCCTTAATCTAAAACTTTGACTGATTGGGTTGTTTAGGTGACAGAGTGATCCAAACTTTTATTACTGATGTAAGTATACCCTCAGTAGTGTAGTCCAGGGTTGGGCTGCTGTCATCTACTAACCTGCCCATTAGTGTCAGAAGGTTTGCCTGGGTATTCCCTAGACTATGTCCCCTGCCTCTGTTGCTCAGGGTGATCTTTGATAAACACCCTAGCCAGCACTGCAACCACCTTTTATTTGCCTGTTCATAATAGCAGAGTCTCCACGTCTACTTTTTTTTTTTTTTTGGAGATAGGGTCTGGCTCTGTCGCCTAGGCTGGAGTGCATGATGTGACCACTGCTCACTGCAGCCTCCACCTCCTAGCCTCAAGCAATCTTCCTGCCTTAGCCTCCCGAGTAGCTGGGACTATAGGCATTCACTGCCATGCTCAGCTAATTTTTTTTTTTTTTTTTAGACAGAGTTTTGCTCTTGTTGCCCAGGCTGGAGTGCAATGGTGTGATCTCAGCTCACTGCAACCTCCACCTCCCGGGTTCAAGCAATTCTCCTGCCTCAGCCTCCCAAGAAGCTGAGATTACAGGCATGTTCTACCATGCCCAGCTAATTTTTGTATTTGTAGTACAGATGGGGTTTCACCATGTTGGTCAGGCTTGTGTCAAACTCCTGACTTCCAGTGATCTGCCCACCTCGGCCTCCCAAAGTGCTAGGATTACAGGCGTGAGCCACCACACCCGGCCTTATGTTTTTTGGTATTTTTTTGGTAGAGACAGGGTTTCGCCATGTTGCCCAAGCTTGTCTCAAACTCCTGAACTCACGTGATTTGTCCGCGTTGGCCTCCCAAAGTTCTGGGATTACAGGTGTGAGCCACAGCGCCCAGCCTCCACTTCTGCTATGATAAAATTGTGTTCCTTGGTAGAAGCATTCCTCCTTAAGTTACTAAGGCTTCTAAACTAGCAGAACACAGAAACCCAAGAAAGGCAATCAAGCTATGAGTGGGACTTTAGATATTAGCTTTGTAAGAAACGTAAGGCAGGGAAGGGAGATAGCGACAGCCAAGACTCAGGGGAGTGGGAGAAATGTAATTTTTAAAAAATATGATAAAATGCACATAACATGAAGTCTTAATCATTTTGAAGCATATAGTTCTGTAGTATTAAGTTCATTTGTATTGTTGTCAACCAGTCTCCAGAACTCATCATGTAAAACTGAAACTCTGTACCCATTAAACACTAAATCTGCATTTTCACCTTTTCCCTCTCCCCAGCTTCTGGTAACCACCATTCTGTTTTCTGTCTCTATGACTCTTTTTTTTTTTTAAGAGACAGGTCTTGTGCAGTCACCCAGGCTGGAGTCCAGTGGCAGTGGCGTGATCACAGTCCATTGCTGCCTTGATCTCCTGGACTCAAGTGATCCTCCCACCTCAGCCTCCCAAGTAGCCGGGACTACAGGCATGAACCACCATGGCCGGCTAAATTTTTAATTTTTTTTTTGTAGAGGCAGGGTCTTGCTATGTTGCCTAGGTTGGTCTCAAACTCCTGGCTTCAAGTGATCCTCCTGCCTTGGCCTCCTAAAGTGCTGGGATTACAGGTGTGAGCCATAGCACCCAACCCTGTCTCTATAAATCTGACCACTTTAGGTACCTCATCTAAGTGGAATCATACAGTATTTTTCCTATTGTGGCTGGCTTATTTCACTTAGCATAATGTCCTCAGGGTTCGTTCATGTTGTAGCGTGTGTCACAGTGTCCTTTCTTTTTAAGGCTGAATAATATTTCATTGTGTGCACATACTAACACATTTTGTTTTATTTTGTTTTATTTTTGAGACAGAGTCTCGCTCTGTCACCTAGACTGGAGTACAGTGGGATGATCTTGGCTCATGGCAACCTCCACCTCCCGCGTTCAAGAGATTCTTGTGCCTCAGCCACCCGAGTAGCTGGGACTACAGGTGCATGTCACCACGCCTGGCTAATTTTTGTATTTTTAGTAGATACAGGGTTTCATCATGTTGCCCAGGCTGGTCTTGAACTCCTGGGCTCAAGAGATCCACTTTCCTTGGCCCCCCAAAGTGCTGGGATTATAGACATGAGCCGCCGCACCTGGCCTGCCAACCACATTTTATTTATCCATTTATCTGTTGATAGCTGGGTTGCTTCTAACTCTTGGCTAATGTGAATATGAGAAATGCAATTTGAAATAGTGTGCCCAGGAAATGTATGGTAAACTGAATTATTGTTCACCAATATTCTCTGCCTCTCCCTACAGGATATTCTTTCATCCTCATCCTTTTGAAATCAGGCTTGGCCATATGACTTCACGTTAGCCAGTGAAATATGAACAGAAGTAATAGAGCTGTCCCAGTCACTGCTGATTTCCCCATACTCTTTTTCCTCTGCTATAGTCACTAGGCAATGTTGAGATAGTAGCTGCTCTGTTGGTCTGGGTTCTGGAGTGAGGGTGAGGATGAACAGATCTACTTGTATATGTGTATACTTGTAGTATGACACAGATCTCTGGGTAATGAGAATTAACCCTTTGCTGTTTCATGCCCTGGATATTTGGGGCTTGCTTGTTAGGCAGCATAACCTGGCCCATTCTGACTGAGAAGGCCTCACTGATTAACGTCTGAGCAGAGACCTAGAGGACGTGATATGTGGAGCAAGCATGTTCGATGGCAGAGCAACAGCAAGTGCAAAGATTCTAAAGAGAAGTTTGTTTCAAGGCTCAGGAAAGAAGCCAGATTTATGAAGGAGGCAGTGAAACAGACAGAGTGGTAGGTGCTAGTCAGACTCTCATGCAGCCCATAGGGCTGGGCTGGAGGTGGGACTGAATCTTGTTCACCCAATGATTCTGTTCCCTCCTCCTTTCCTCCATGGAGCATGGAATGGGTGGCAGTAGTGAGGGGGTAGAAGAAGGAATGAAGGAGAAAAAAGTGAGGCGTGGAGCAGGAAGATGCAGACTAGCCCAGATCCATGGCCCATGGCCCCTCATATACTAAAAATGATAGTATCACACATGGAGGCACCTTATCCAGGGCATGGTGAGGCTTCTGAAGTCTGACTTCTGTCATAAGATGAATAGTGCATCAAGAGTTGCTGATAAGTGATCATTGATGACCGGAACATCCCCCACTACTCCCTGGTTCACCTTGTCATTTTCATGCCTGTGACTTTAAAAAAAATTTTCTTTTAATTTTATTTTTTAATTGGAAGAAGCATTTTATATTTGCAGTTCAACTGATAATGCCAACACTTGTTACTGTACAGCACATTACAGGATTTGTGGTTGCAAAAAGTTACGTAATTTAAGTTTACTGGTATTGCTACTCACCTAAGTCTAAACTAAATCTTATGTTCCCATTTGCAATTTAATTTGTAAATTAAAGGTTTTGTTTGTTTGTTTTTGTTTCTATTTTGTTTTGTTTTGTTTTGTTGAAACAGAGTCTCACTCTGTCGCCCAGGCTGGAGTGCAGTGGTGCAATCTCGGCTCACTGCAACCTCTGCCTCCCGGGTTCAAGTGATTCTCTTGCCTCCCGAGTAGCTGGGACTGCAGGTGCCCACCACCATGCCCAGCCAATTTTTGTGTTTTTAGTAGAGACGGGGTTTCGCCATGTTGGCCAGGCTGGTCTCTAACTCCTGAGCTCAGGTGATCCACCCGCCTTGGCCTCCCAAGGTGCTGAGCCACCACACCCGGCCAAATTAAAATGTTTTAAACATATAAGTCCATTATGAACATTAGTTTAAAAGGGGACCCATGACTATTTTTAGAGCCACACAAGCCCAGGGAGCCTCCAACAGACCAACCAAGGAAGCGGGGCCTGGGAACTTAGGAGTGTGCCATGCAGGGCCCTGAAAAAGGGACAGCTTCCCATCCAAGCAGCATAGAAGGAAACCTAATAAGCCACATACTCCTTCTTTCCTTAAATCCTGATACTTTTTCATTTTTAAAAACTTAAGTCTTGGTCAGGTGCTGTGTCTCACACCTATAATCTCAGCACTTTGGGAGGCCGAGGCGGGCAGATTACTTGAGCTAAGGAGTTTGAGATCAGCCTGGGCAACGTGGTGAAACCCCGTCTCTACAAAAAATAGAAAAAAGTTAGCCGGACCTGGTGGCATGCACCTGTAGACCCAGCTACTCAGGACTGAGGTGGGAGGATCGCCTGAGCCCAGAAGGTGGGCTCAGGCAGTGAGCTGTGTTGCGCCATGGCACTCCAACCTGGGGACAACAGAGCAAAACCCTGTCTAAAAAAAAAACCAGGTGCCCTGGCTCACGCCTGTAATTCTAACACTTTGGGAGGCCAAGGCAGGTGGATCACGAGGTCAGGAGATCGAGACCATCCCGGCTAACACGGTGAAACCCCGTCTCTACTGAAAATACAAAAAATTAGCCGGGCATGGTGGCGGGTGCCTGTAGTGCCAGCTAGCCAGGAGGCTGAGGCAGGAGAATCACTTGAACCCCGGAGGCAGAGGTTGCAGTGAGCCAAGATCGCGCCACTGCACTCCAGCCTGGGCGACAGAGTGAGACTCCATCTCAAAAAAAAAAAAAAAAAAGTCTTAGATTTCTTTCAGCTCTGTAACCTCCTTGAAACCATACATAGGTCCTCTTAATCAGCAATTGCTAGTAAAAGAAACTCTGGACAATCAAGCAGGGTGGGTGGGTGGCTATTGATTCAGATGCATGCAGAAGGCAGAATTCTAAATATCAAATCTATTTAGTAGAAACTTGTTACAGTTGAAGGCAAAAATGTTTCACGGAGATGAAACCCTGCTGTGCATTTATGAACCACAGAAATAGCCATGGAAAGTTCTCTGGAAGAATCCCTCATTAGATATCTGGGTTTCTAAAGGCTAATGGCATCTCTTGCAGAACACAACTATTAATCTCAAGTGCTCCATGCCAGTTGACTGTCTTCTGAATTCAAATAAGCACCTACAACTCCTAAATATATAAAAATATTTTTAGGTGTATAACAATCTCAAGTATCAGGCTGAGCGTGGTGGCTCATGCCTATAATCCTAGCACTTTGGAAGGCCAAGGTGAGCAAATCACTTGAGGCCAGGAGTTCGAGACCAGCCTGGCCAACATGGCAAAACCCCATCTCTACCAAAAATACAAAAAATTAGCCAGGCATGGTGGCACACACCTGTGGTCCCAGCTACTCGGGTGGCTGAGGTGAGAGGATCATTTGAGCCCAGGAGGTGGAGGCTGCAGTGAGTTGAGATCATGCCACTGCACTCCAGCTTGGGTGACAGAGTAAGACTTCACCTCAAAAGGAATCTGAAGTATCTATATGTTATCTCTTTTCTTGTTGGCAAAGAGAAAATTTAACAATTGGATGCATGCAAAAGCATTGTGATATCAAGCCCTGCCCTCCTCCTTTTCTTCTTGTAAATTTCTAAAGAAATCCTATTCATGATGGAAAATATATAAAAAGGCAAGTTCCATTCAATTTAAATAATACCAGAATCACTGGGACCAGGGCCAATGGTTTTCCCCCTCAACCATTGTTGTGGGGTAAAAAAGCCATCTCATGGTCTGAGAAGGGAAAATGTGTAACTCGAATAGGTACCAGCAAGAAGGGTGCTGTGCAGGGAATGGGGACCAACAGCAAAAGTCTCTTAGGGAGCTCAAGGCAAATCAACATATTACAGTGCAGCGGGAGTCAACATTGAGTTCCCACTCCTTTCAAGATCCATCCTTTGACCCAGGGGAGGGGTGAGGGGCAGGGGGACATTATTGGTATTTGGGAGATGGACCATTCTTTGTTTGTCCTGTGCACTGTAGAATGTTTACATCCTTGACCCCACTCACTAAATGCAAGTAGCACTTTGCAATCCCTGACACAAAAACATCCCTAGACTCTCCCTGAAGACGTTGCTATCCCCCTTTGACAGCTCTACAAGGTTGGAATATACCAACAGAGAGAATAAGGTGGGGTTTGAACGTAACTGGGAGGATGCATCACTGAGCACGAACTGACTAGTACCATCATTCTTTCCACACATGGACACATCAGGAAAGGAAAAGCAATTAGCTACATTTGCTGGCAAAGAAATGGTGACATCCAAAAGCTACAACAGCCTTATGATTAGAGAGGAGGCTTTATAGTTGGTAGTAAAGCAAATTTTAAAAGGAAATCAAAAACTGAAATGGACTGCAGGCAGCATTCAAAATAACTGACATAGTAAATGACTCAACCCGTATGTCATTGGTCTTCTGAAGGGGAAGGGTTGTTTCTCTGAAGACGACTGGCAGACTGCCTGACATGTGCATGAAAAGTATAGGAGACAGCTAGCTTTTAGCCTCTTTTGTGGACACTGGATTTCAAAATTTTTAAATTAAATGAAACACAGATGAAAATTTTAAATCCTGCATATCAAAGCACATTGACAATTTACTTACCAAGTACGTGCCATGTTGCTTGGCGTTTTCTATTGTACGTGGACAGTTTTGAGGGTTCAACTTTCCCAGTGTTGTTGGTGGGCATCCCCCGCTCTCTCCCACCCACCCCATTGGCCCTTCCCAGCTTCTGTCTTCCAGCCACCACCTCCCAACCCCTACCCAGGACAAGGTCATCTGCGGGTAAGAAGGTAGGAAGGGACCCTTCATCCTGCCATCACGGGACCCCATTCCCTCTCCTTCTCCCTTCAGCTTTCTAACAGCAGCATCATTTGTTAGGCAATTACCCAAGCTAAGGCTTCTTATTTGGTTGCTTGATATTAAAGTAGGCCAGCAAAGGAAGTTTTTACATCTATCCCCCCAGAGGTTTGTTTTAATTTTTTTACAACAATTTTTTAAAACAAAGAGCCCTTTTTTATGAATTATTTGAGATTTGCTCACAAAAAATCAGGCCACCAATCCTGATTTTTCTACAAACAAGGACATTCTCTTCTAAAACAATAAAATCATCAAAATCAAGAAATTAACAGTGATGCATTACTACCATCTAATCCTCAGACCCCATTCACAGCTCTCCAGTTGCCCCAGTAATGTGCTTTACAATGAAAAGATGAAGTTTAAAAAAAGTTTTTTTTTGCATTTGGCTGTCATGGCTGTTTTAGCCTCCTTCATTCTGGGACAGTAGCTCAGTCCTTCCTTGGTTTTCACAAACCTGGCACTTCTGAAGAGTACAGGCCAAGAACTCCTCTCCTGCTGCTTCTATGCCATCAGAACAAGAAAGAGACCAGCATCTGTCTCCCTCCCCTTCCACCCATCCTGGAGGCTTCAGTCCAGTGATAGTGTTCTTGGGAAGAACTTGGGTAAAAGCTCTGGGCATAGCAAGGTCAAGGAAAGTTTCTTTACTATTCTTTAAAAAAAAAAAAAAAAAAAAAAAAAAAAAAAAAAAGACGGGCCTGGGACATAGCTTTAAGCTTTCTGGAAACTAGTGTAGTGGAAATACCATCCCTGCTATCGAATTTTTTACAAAGCGTGTTCTCTGTTTTGGGTGCCCCCTGGCCATTCTGAGTTCTCTCTCTCCTTGAGCCTCCAGGCTGGGTCTCAGGCTGCTGAAGAAAGGCCAGTTGGCAGAGGAGGAGAACTGGAACCAGCCAAGGAGACATTTAGTTTCTATTTCTTCTTGCCACTGGCCTTTTGTTCATCAACTCTGCTTCTCCATTGCGTGGTCCTTTCAGAATAAGATTGCAGGTCACCTCCTCTGAAGAGGGAGCATGCACTCATTCTGCTACCCTGGCACTGCATGTTTCCACAGAGTCCACAGTGTCCCAGTTAATGTCACTACATCATTTCATATCTATGTACATCCTGTGACTATATTTCAGTTGTTTAATGTCTGTAACGATGTCTCTTCTTCCTACTTAGATTCCAAGTACCTCAGATGAGGGACATGATCTTCAGCATCCATCTGTCTATCTTCAACAACTTGTAATGAGTTGCCTTAATATCAGCTTTCTATAAATAAGTGTTGAATGGATGAATGCTTGTCCATGTGTAGGCCTGCGTGTGACTCAAAGAACACATGTCCATATTCTTTTAGAATGTGCTGATAACTTCCGGATAATCTATTTCTCTGATCTTTACATTACCATAGACATTCTAGAAGAGAGATTGTTTAGTAAAACCCTCATTTTAAAGTTGAGAAAGTTGAAGCCCAGAAAGGTTGTATGACTTGTCCAAGATGTCATTTCCAGCTAGTAGCAAAACTAGGGCCCAAACCAAAATCCTACCTCCTTTCCTAAAGCTCCACCCACTGTACCATGCACCTTACTTCAGCATTGGCAAGTACAGATATGTTTATTGTAGCTACTGATTGAGTTCGTAGGGGCAGGGAAATGTCAAAGCTAGTGATTTATAAAAGCTTATATCAGGGTCAGGCGTGGAGGTCCAAGAGCAGGGTGCCTGCCTGGTCAGCTTCTGGTGAGGGCTCCTTTCCTGGCTTGTAGACAGCCGCCTTCTCACTGTGTGCTCACATGGCTTTTCCTTAGTGCTTGCAAAGAGAAAGAAAAAAGAGATCTCCTTTTCTCTTCCTCCTCTTATAAGGATCCTTTCAGATTAGGATTCTACCTATAGACCTCATTTAACTTTAATTACCTCCTAAAAAGCCCTCTCTCCAAATATAGTCATGTTGGGGGTTACAGCTTCAACACGTGAATTTTTTGCGGACACAATTCAGTCCATAGCATAGTGATAGCGTAAAAATTTAAAACACCTTCAACATACTATAATATGATATGAAAATAGTTGTTGTAGTGTGTAGTGGGTCCCCCACCAGGTGACTTAAGAGTGTATGTCTGCTGCTTGAACCCTGAAGGCTGAGCAGTGAGCCAAGGCCATGGTGCCCAGCTGAGGAGTAGGTGTCCTTGAGAACCCAGACATCCCGGAGAGAATCTGAGAACCTACCAAGGAAAACAGTCCCATCGTGCACACGCACGGATCTCTAGAGCTATCCTGCTGCCATCCAGGAGTGCCCTGTTATAAGCCCTAATAAACTCAACTACTCATCAAGCTGGACTTGTCCAAGTTATTCTTTGGTCTTTCAGCACCTTCCCAGTTTGGGGGTGGGTACTACAGTCCCAAGTTTTTCCTGTAACAGCTGAGATCTATTGGTGACAAAGTTACAGGTACTGCTATTAATACTGTGGTTTGCTGCCTACATTCATCATGGGAGGAAATGCTTAATTTCAGGTTGTGGTTAGTGAAAATAAATAAATATATATGTATATTTTTTACATCCAAGTTCACAGGCACCCTGAATTTCTATACAGGGACATCGGGCTAAGAATCCTTGGTCCACACAAGTAATATGTTCTCGTTGTGAGCAAGCAAGTGGCATAACCTCAGGATGGTGAGAACAGATTTTGAAATCAGCTGATATTTCCCATTGCCAGTTACTCAGGAACAGTAAGCATGTTGAACTGAAAATAGACATCATCTGCTCTTGGCTTGCTTTCTGATATTTTTGATTGTGTGTTTGAGTATTGGAATACGTTTTGTCTTGCAGACACCAGTAACTTAAATATAGAACAAAATAACTCCTGGACCGCTGAGAACTTCTGGCTTGACCCTGCTGTGAAAGGCCAGTCAGAGAAGGAAGAGGATGATGGCCTTCGGAAATCCCTGGATAGATTCTATGAAATGTTTGGTCATCCACAGCCAGGCTCTGCAAACTCACTCTCTGCATCTGTCTGCAAGTGCCTGTCTCAGAAAATCACTCAACTAAGAGGCCAGGAGAGCCAAAAGTATGCCCTCCGCAGTTTTCAAATGGCCCGGGTGATCTTCAACCGGGACGGCTGCTCCGTCTTACAGAGGCATTCCAGGGACACCCACTTCTACCCACTGGAGGAAGGAAGTACATCTTTGGATGATGAAAAGCCAAACCCAGGACTGTCAAAGGATATTACTCATTTCCTCTTGCAGCAGAATGTAATGAAAGACCTGTAACTGGTGCCGGGCAGTGTGCAGGGTAGTAATGGAGGTGCTGTGCCATGACCAGCAGTGTTGGTGGCCACCCAGATCCCCTAGGGTCTCTGGCCAGCTCTGTGTGCCCAATCCCAATTAAGTGCTTTGAGGTTAAAGGCTGGCACCTGTGACCTGGTATTGGAGCCAGTCAGCCCATATGGAGAGCCAGCAGGGTCTGGGAGTTCTCCGTCCTCTTGGCCAAGGCCGCTGACTGACTGGGCTACGAGTCAAAAGCCCAGCTCCCTTGCCTCAAGGAAGGACATTCTCTGAGGAGTAATTTATGCTCTAGCACTCCCTTTCCTCTAGATCGGCCTGAGGCTGGGACATTACATGAAATCACACCCTTGCTGGGCTTAATCCCTTTCCCTACCCTCCCATTTATTTACTGGTGTCTCTGGGAGCCTTTCCTTAATAAACCTCTTATATCTGAATCCTTGACTCAGAGTCTACTTCTGGGAGAATTCACCCTGAGAGAACATGCTTCTGTGAGATGAGGTTTTAGAAGGATACAAAGCTCTACACCGAATCAGGTATAAGGAATTATATCAAGTTGTAAAACTGAGACCATGTCATTGAGAATACATGTCCTAAAATAATATAAAGATTGAAATACAGTTGAGAAAAGTATATCACATCTTGATCACACCCTTGCCTCCTCTCCAAAGCTAGAAATCCATGTTTTATCATACTAACTGGGTGTGGAAGGAACATTTGGACAATCTAAAATAACAGCGAAAATTCACAATTCTTTTTAAAATCTCTTGTCTTTTATCAGATTGCAAACGTGAAAGGTGAGAAGGTAACAAATGTGCACCACCCACCACAGTATATGTAAGCACAATTATGCTACGCTAGGCTGATGCCACGTGGCCTTGTCAAGTTGTGTTTGAAGAGAATAAATAATCCTTTGCCCAGGTGGGGCCCTACTTTCTCTTGTCTTCTGCCTGCCTGCACCCTCTGTCACCTTGTGAACGCTTGGCCCCTCACCCCTGCCCTGTCCTTGCCTCCAACACCCTGAGCTCCATTTGCAAAGGCTTGCCCAGAGCAGGACTTCTTGGCCACCTTGTCCCTGTCCTCCAGGCATGAGCCCTTCCTCACCAGGGAGCTCTTTAAATAGCCAGTGCAGGTTTGCACTGGCAGATGCTCCGCTCTGCGGGTCGTGTCCTGAACCCCCATTTGAGACTCAGTTGGTAGAATTACATCACCTGGCACCGGGATCTCAAGCTGCAATTGGAAGCCTCATGCTAATCCCTATCGCAGCAGTGCTTTCAACAAATTGCATTGGCAGAAAGGGTTATATTGCCTTTGGGTTGGGGGGAACAACAAAAGAAGCTGGCAGCCCTGAGCAACTAGATTTTGAGACACTTGAGGTGAAATTTAATTGGCCTAAGATTCCAAAAGCTTTCCAGAAAGCGGATTATGCAAACGGGTCAGCCTTAAAGTATACATTGAGAGTGAGTGTGCCATCTCAGGAAGGTATCCCAGGGACTCTTGGATGGAGAGAGAAGCCTTTTAAAGGTTAGGAATGACACACTCACACTCAGGCTTCCAGTGCTGGGGAGATTAGGTGTAAGAAACAGTGTTCCAGATTGAAGTGTAGAGGCACCTCCTGGAAGGAGACCCAGATGATAGAAATAGGAAATGAACAGGTCCTTGAGAGACACTGGAGAAAACAAGACTTCAGGTTTTCCTCTGACAAGCAATCGTCTGCTTCTTTCTCCATGGGCGTTTCCTATTCAACTGGCCCCCAAATAATCGTGAAGCCAGGGGGACTTATAATTGAAAACCTGGCAATTAAATTTTAAGGTAGCTAGCTTTATTGTTTTTTTAATGAGAGGCATATTAATAGATGTCCTTGAAGAACGCTATCATTTTTAGTATGACTCAGTCACTGCAATGTTTGCGGTTCGTCTCCATGGCTACCCACAGAAGGAAACTGGATTATTTTATGTTGTTTTTAAAAGGACAAAAAATACGAGTTATTTGAATCTTCATGTTGGAAAGCAGCAGCTTCTATTTGGCAATGAGATTTTAGTGTCAAACATTTCATAACCTTTATTTAAATATGTGTGCCAAGAGTGCCCGGTGAGAGGATAGCCCAAAAGTAGAGAGTTTAGAAGTCTCAAAGTCAGAATCACCTCAGGTTTAAAAAGAGTGTGGTGTGTGTTTACTTGCATCTGAATAAGTGTTTGTGACAGGTCAATACAAGATATTTGATTCCCTGCAAACTCACTGCTTAATTTGATCTCTGTGAGGTTAGGATGGCATTTTCCATTTATCTCTGTGAATCTTTAATAAAGGCTAACAGATAAGGATATTGAGGCTTTGGCCTTTGGCATTATTGTCTAATTCTGCCCCACAGATAAATTCACCAACATTATACCATCTCATGCATGTTATGACTGGCCTGTGATATCATCTGTGGCTCTTTTCAGGTCTTTGTGAGACATCAGAACTAAGAGCGCAGAAACATCACAACCCTTAAGAAGAGAACTCCTACCGATGTCTTAAATTCATGTGCTATTACTCATTTCATTAGTCTATTTCTTTGCATAACCTATGTAAAGGCCCATGTAACAGATCTTATTACCAGTAATTAGCACAAAACAATAGAGCCATGCTTTTTTATTTTAAAATAATTTATTTGAAAAAATAGAGATGGGATCTTGCTGTGTTGGCCAGGTTGATCTTGAACTCTTGACCTCAAGCAATCCTCCCACATCAGCCTCCCAAAGTGCTAGGATTACATGTGTGAGCCACTGTGCCCGGCCAGCTTTTTAAACTTTTTAAAGCTTTTAACACTTTTTATTGGATAATAATGATTACACAGAAACATACATATATCATACAAGTGAACACCTTGATGATTTTCACAAACACCCTGCCTGTGTAGCCAGCATCCTGATCAAGCAACAGATATTACCCACCAGCCCAGGCCCCCTTTTAAGTAGAGAACCGATGAGAACAGTTTGCTGTGACCAGTGTTTCTCAAACTGCTAGTAGCACAAATAATTTTAGATACTACATGGAAAAACAATGTTTATTTTAATTGGTAATCTATTCAGTTTAATATGTTAGAAAAATAGAACTACCACATCTAGTCCATGCTTTCAGATGTATTGCATAGGACAAGCCTAATATTAGTATTTGAAATTTAAAACTGGACTGAATTAATTTAAAAATTAATAATAGTGCAGGTAACATATATGTCCAAATGTATAAAAGTGGTATACCTGAAAATGACTAAGGTTTGGAATTCAGTGGTGTATTAATCTGTTCTTATGCTGCTTATAAAGACATACCCAAGACTGGGTAATTTATGCAGGAAAGATGTTTAATTGACTCACAATTCCACATGGCTGAGGAGGCCTCACAATCATGGCCGAAAACAAATGAGAAGCAAAGTCACGTCTTACATGGCGGCAGGCAAGAGAGCTTGTGTAGGAACTCCCCTTTATAAACCCATCAGATCTTGCAAGACTTATTTAACACTATCATGAGAACAGCATGAGAAAGACCCACCCCCATGATTCAATTACCTCCCACCTGGTTCCTCCCATGACACATGGGAATTATGGGAGCTACAATTCAAGATGAGATTTGAGTGGATACACAGCCAAACCACATCAAGTGGGATAGGTGATCCATCATATCCCATTAGTGTCCCACCATTGCTCTTCTGGAATACTGCAAGAAACTTCCATCTGGTCAATCCATATGTACCTTTGCCTCTCTTTACCCTGCAGCCACAATGCAAATTCTTTTAAAAAGCTAAACATGCATGAATAGCCAAAAAATTTAAAAGAAGGAACTAGCCTTCTCAAATGTGAAAACATTTTTAATTCTATAGTAATTAAAGCAGCAAAAAAGGCATAGACAAAAGAAAAGAGTACAGTCCATAAATAGATATAAATGCCTATGGAAATTGAGTATATGGCGAAGGTGGCATTGCAAACCCATAAGGGAAAGGTGGAGGTTTTAGCAACTGCTCTTATTCACTGGCTCCCCACACTGGGGGAGGGAGAGTGAAAAAGGCTGGATTCCCCATCTTATTTCTCATATCAAAATGAATATTAGATGGATTAAACACTCAAAAAAATAAAATAACAAAAATGCTAGAATAAAACACAGGTGATATGGATACCTAAATAGAGATATCTATATAGAGATATATTGGAACAGGGAAGATTTTTCTAAGACTGACACAAAACCTAAAAACCATAAAGGACAAATTTGATAAAAATAACTGCCTAGCCATACGCAAGATCAGAACTAGGAAAAATACTTAGAACACGTCTAACAGAGGAACTTTTTCAAGAAACAAGTTGTACAAATTATTAGAAAAACAACCGAATGGAAGCATTGACAAAAGACATGAACAGGTGGTTAAGAATATATATAGAATATATATATATATGTAAAATGATCATGAAATCACGTGCCACTACACTCAAACATAAGGAACTACAACTTTGAACACCAATGAGATATTCTTTGTTTTTGCGTTTTGTTTCTTGATTCTTACATTTTGTAGGGCTGTAAAAAGTTAAAAGGAATCTAGTGCTGGCCACGATGCGGAGAGAAAAATGCTCCGATTGACTCTCAGTGGGAATGTAAATTGCTATAGCTTTTCTCAGTAGAATATGGCAACCTCTATCAAAATTATAAAAGGATTTTTTTTTTTTTTTTGAGATGGAGTTTCGTTCTGTCGCCCAGGCTGGAGTGCAGTGGCGCAATCTTGGCTTACTGCAACCTCCACCTCCCAGGTTCAAGTGATTTTCCTGCCTCAGCATCCTGAGTAGCTGGGATTACAGGTGCCCACCACCATGCCCAGCTGATTTTTTGTAGTTTTAGTAGAGATGGGGTTTCCCCATGTTGGCCAGGCTGGTCTCGAACTCCCGACCTCAGGTGATCCACCCGCCTCTGCCTCCCAAAGTGCTAGGATTACAGGCGTGAGCCACTGCACCTGGCCTAGAGGATATCTTTGACTCAGTAATTCATCCTACTGAATTCCAAGCTTTAGTCATTTTTGGGTACACCACTTTTATACTTTTTTACTTACCTGTATGTCACATGCACTATTATAAATTTAATTTTGTTCATTTAATCCACTTTTAAATTGTAAATATTTATATAGGCTTGTGCTATGTAATCTATGGGAAAGCACAGATTAGATGTAGTCATCCCAGGACTGCGACCAAATCTCCACTACAGCTAGGGCCGCAGCAGTGAACCAGACCTGGAAGATCTCCTGCTAGTGAGGGGTGATGGACAAAAGCAAGTCCATTTCAAATAGTGAGAAGCACCCTGGGATAATAAAGAATGACATGGTAGTGCCTGGGGTGGCCACTCTGGACAGACTGGTGTGAGGAAGACTCTGAAGAAGTGGCATTTGAGCTTTCAGCTGCAGGAGTCACAGGGCCAGGCAGACAATGGCTGGAGCATCCAGTCAGAGGGAACAATATGTGCAAAGTTAGTGCAAACTCAGCCTGGGATGAGCTGAAGTGTCTGGATAGAGGGAGTCCCATGTGGCTGGAGGACAACCCTCAGAGGCAGAGGGGTAGATGAATTTCAGAAGCAGGCTATGGTTTTTTAGGCCAAGGGAAGGAATTTGAATTTTATTCTAAGAACAATGTGAAGTGATTTAAGGATTTTAAGCAAGAGAATAAGATAGGTGTTCAAATTTATGGAAATTTATGGCTAACATTTTTAAGTGCTGGTAAAGGATGAATTACCTAAATATCCAATAAATGGTGAGATCCCTACCTCACATTATACACAGAGAAAAAACTTCAGATGGATTAAGGATCTAAATGTAAAAAATAACACTATAAGAGTTACAGATGACAATATACCTAAGTGTTTTTACAGTCCTGCATGAGAAAGGCCTTCCTAAAACCGATAGCAATGCGAAATAATAAAAGATTGACAGTTTTTTGTTTTTTGAGACAGAGTTTCACTCTTGCTGCCCAGGCTGGAGTGCAGTGGCAAGATCTCAGCTCACTGCAACTTCTGCCTCCCGGGTTCAATTGAGTCTCCTGTCTCAGCCTCCTGAGTAGCCGGGATTACAGGCGCATACCACCACATCTGGCTAATTTTTGCATTTTTTGTTTTTTTTTTTTAAGTAGAGACAGGGTTTCATCATATTGGTCAGGCTGGTTTTGAACTCCTGACCTCAGGTGATCCACCCGCCTCGGCCTCCCAACGTGCTGGGGTTACACAAGTGTGAGCCACCGTGCCTGATTAACAGTTTTAACTACATAAAAATTTTAAACTTATTTTTTTAAATAGATCAGGGTCTCACGGTGTTGCTCAGGCTGGTCTTGAACTCCTGGACTCAAGTGATTCTCCTGCCTCAGCCTCCCAAGTGTTGGGATTATAGGTCTGAGCCACTGCACCTGGCCAAATTTAAAATTTAGAGTGAAAGATATCATAAATATGTGATAAAAGCATTGTGGTTTTGTGAGAAAATATCCTTATTTCTTAGAAATATATATTGAAATATTTAAACTAAAATATCTTAACATCTGTAAATTACTTTAAATATATTTCAACAGAAACAAGATAAAGCAGATATGACAAAATGTTAACAAGTTATCACATCCAGATGATGAGTATATGAAGGTTCACTATTCTTTCCACTTTTCTATGTATGAAATTTTCAAACTATTTATTTAGAGACAAGGTCTCACTCTGTTACCCAGACTGGAGTGCAGTGGCGTGATCATAGCTCACTACAGCCTTGATCTCAGGTCCAAGCAATCCTCCTGCCTCAGCCTCCCAAGTAGCTGGGACCACAAGTGCATGCTACCACGCCCTGCTAATTTTTTTTTTTTTTTTTTTTTTTTTTTTTTTTAGAGAGAGAGAGAGAGATAGGGTCTGCTTTGTTGCCTTGGCTGGTCTTGAACTCCTGGTCTCAAAAGTAATCTTCCTGCTTTGGTCTCCCACAGTGCTGGGATTATAGGCATATGCAATTTGTCTCAAAATACTTGTTTATTCCTTTTCCCCTCTCAATTCTCATTCTGTCAGGTCACTTCACAGTACATGGCTCTCTCTCACTTTGCTTTCTTTCTCTAGTGGAAAATCACCCTCCCTGTGTATCTGAGAACTCAGTCCTCATGAGCAAGGTCACAGTCAGAGAAAGAACATATTAAGGCCATCTGAATGATGGCCCCTTTGGGATAGATGATTCTCTCTGCAAATATGCTTGTGGACCAGACCAGGCCTGTTTGCTTGTTTAACACCCGAAGGCCTTATTCTCTCATTGCCTTTTTCTTAAATCCCCGAAAGCTGTGCATCAGAGATAGCAGTTTTACCAGCAACCGAACCAAGAGTTCTCCAAATCCTCCCAAGTGAATCCTTTCCATCTGCTGTCTCAGTAGGCAGTGCACTGACGAAGGCACACAGTTTAGCATTCCTGCTCTCTTTGTTATTTTCTCCTCTTCCTTCAGCATTTGCAGCTGAATGTCAGATGCCTTAAGCACATATTATTTCACCAGGATGTAATTAATGTGTATTCAAACTGTGGGACTTTTCTGGTTGCCCTTACAAGCTCCTCCTGGGATCCTGATTAATTATTGTTACATTGTTTCTCTAGAAGGCATGAGGACCATTAGGATGTCAGGTGCGCAATTGTCCGTTGCTCTAGTTAGAATCCCGGTATGCAAAAATGTCTAACCCTGCCCTGATTTTCACATTATTTTCCCACTATCTCATATCCTCAAGCCCTCTCCTTTTTCCTCTCTCTTTTTCACCATATATTTAAAGGTCTTCATTATTTTAAGAAAATTGTGCACACACACATATTCATGCACTTTTAAAAACTTGATTTAATCATGGTTTACTTCTGTTCAGCTTTTCCTCTCCCCTTTGGTACCATCTTCTAGACCCACAACCAAAACACAAGAAGCTGCTGGAATTTGGAAGACCTAGGTTGGGAACCCCTGGCTTAAACCAACAAGCATGTGGTAAAAATCCTGAGGCAACTTCCAGTTTCAGGAGAAGATGTTATAGACTTACTTTTTCTGGCTTCTTGTTAAACACAACCAAGTACCACGGAAAGAATTCAGCAATCATAAAAGGACTCTGAATGGCAGAAAGAAGATGGATGGACTAGGGACTCAGGACTTGAAGAATAACCCAACAGTTGGTTTTCTGGATTTTCTTTATCTTCCATATATCCTGGACACCAGCCAGCCTGAAACCACAGACAGGCATAGGAGAGAGAAAGAGAGGGAAGGGAGGGGAGGGAAGGGGGAAGAAGGGGGAAGGGGGAAGAAGGGGGAAGGGGGAAGGGGGAAGAAGGGGGAAGGGGGAAGGGGGAAGAAGGGGGAAGGGGGAAGGGGGAGGAAGGGGGAAGAAGGGGGAAGGGGGAAGGGGTCTTCTCCCTCTGGCTAAGGGACCAGGAAAGGAGAACTCAGTGAGGAGAGCCACACCCAGTGGCAGTGGTGGACCCAATCTGCTCACAGCACTAGCACCAGCAGAAATGAGCTTCCAACCACTCCCCTACTCCACAGCCACAGACAGCAGCAGGCCAGTATCCCTGCAGCAGTGGCAACAGAAGAATCCAAACGGGCCAACCCACTTCACATCCCATCTCCACCAGCAGCAGGGGGCTCAATCTGCCCGTATTAGTGGTAACAGTGAAACCCATGCAGGCCAGGTCATCTACTGCTCCACACCAGGTGACAGCAGGTAGGCTCCTTCACTTGCACAAGCAGTGCCAGCAGGTCTGGTGTCTTTCAGCCATTCACGCAGAGGCAGAAGGCGATCTAGGGCATCCCCCACACCCACATAATGACACCAGTCAACCTAGAGCAGTGCCTTCTGCCTCTGTAGGCACCATATGTAGCAACCCAGTAGGAGCTTAAGCAGAGCCCCAAGAGCAAAGCAGACCAGAATAGCACTGCGAAGGCTCAGAAAACACAACTGTCGTTAAAACTATAGCCCACAAAAGTAGGCAAAACTGACACCATAAACCTAAACAGGGCGGTTGCCTGCTAAAATAGAAGATTTATACAGAATCAAGAGTCTCGTAACATAATGTGCAGAATGTCCAGGATACAATTGAAAATGACTTGTCATACCAAGAACCAGGAAAATCACAACTGGAGCGAGAAAAGGCAATCAGCTGACATTGATAGTGAGATGAATCAGATGGTGGAACTATCTGCAAAGATTTTAAAGCAACTCCCATAATGTAGTTTCAGTAAGCAGTTATAAAATCCTTTGAAACATGAAAAAATAGAAAACCTCAGCAAATAAATAGAAGTTACAAAAAGAACCAAATGGAAATCACAGAATTGAAACATGCAGCAACAAAATTTAAAAACTCACCAGGTGGGCTCAGCGGTAGCGTGGAGATGACAAAAGATAAAGTCACTGACCTTGAGGACAATTCCACTGAATTTATTCAATTTGATCAACAGAGAGAAGACGGATGAGGTAGAGGATGGGAGGGAAGGAAGGAACTACGAGACAATAACAGAAGACCTAACATTCAGAGCCCCAGAAAGACTCCAGAAAGATTTGAGGGCTAAACAAGTATTCAAAACATAAGGGCTGAAAACTTCCCAAATTTGGTGAAAGACAGAAACCTACAGATTCACAAAGCTAAGTGAACCCGAAATAGGACTGATCAAAAGAAATCCTCACCAAAACACATTATAATTAAACTTCTGAAGATGAAAGAAAAAAATCTTAAGAGCAACCAAGGAGGAATGCATTATCTATAGGCAAATACCAATTTGAATGAGAACAGATTTTTCATCTGAAACCAGGGAGGCCAGAATGAAGTGGCTCAACATTTTTCAAGTGCTGAAAGAGAAGAACTGTCAACCATGAATTCTACATACAGTGAAACTGTATTTTAAGAATGAAGGAGAAATAAGACAATGTGTGGCCAGCAGTCCTACCCTTAAAGAATGCCTAAAGGAAGCTCTCCAAACAGAAAAGAAATGCCAAAAGAAGACTGGAAGTTCAGAAAAGAAAGAACAACAGAAGGGATAAAAAGAAAAGAAAATATAATAGACTATTCTTCTCCTTATGAGTTTCTTAACTCATATTTGATAGCTGAGGCAAAAAATACAACATCTATTGTGGTGCTTAATAGATGCAGAGGAAATACTTGAGGTAATTATACTTAAAAAGAGAGGCAGGTTACAATATCATGATGTAATAAAAGATACATATTTGTCTCTGGCTCTAGTTTCTCGCACAGAGCTGCTAAAACCATTGTAAAGTCCTGAGCAAAAGACATGCCAAGTGCATCTTTTGTTCTAATATTTGGTCTTTTTTTTTTTTTTTTTTTTTTTTTTTTAGATGGAGTCTCACTCTGTCGCCCAGGCTGGAGTGCAGTGTAATATTTGGTCTTTAAGCCCAGGTCCTGACACAGAGCTCCTAATACCATGGAATTTCCTGGGGGATGGGAGGGTCTTTTGTTCTATTGAGGCAACTCTTGGTGGATTCCTAGGTGGAGGCTGGTGACCAGAAAGACCAAGCCATAAGTAGAAGCTTGAAACTTTCAGCCCCACCTCCCATTCTCTGGGAAGGGGAGGGGAGCTGGAAACTGGGTTAATAGTAGATCATGTAGACATGATGAAGCTTCCATAAAAATCCCTGAACTACAGGGTTCAGAGAGTTTCTGGGCTGCTGAACACACGGTGGGGCAAGGAAAATGATGTACCCAGAGCGGGCAGGGAAGCTCTGCAGCCCTTGCCACAGACTTCGCCCTATGATTCTCTTATCTGGCTGTTGATCTGTATTCTTTATCATATACTTTAATTTTATTTTATTTTATTTTTTGAGATGGAGTATCGCTCTGTCACCCAGGCTGGAGTGCAGTGGCATGATCCCAGCTCACTGCAGCCTCCACCTCCTGGGTTCAAGCGATTGTCCTGCCTCAGCCTCTCAAGTACCTGGGATTACAGGCGTGCACCGCCACGCCTGGCTAATTTTTGTATTTTTTTTCATCTTGTTGGCCAGGCTAGTCTCAAACTCCTGACCTCAAGTGATCACGCATCTCAGCCTCCCAAAGTGCTGGGATTTACAGGTGTGAGCTACCGCACCCGGTCTATCATATACTTTATAATAAACCAGTAGATGTAAGTGTTTCCTTGAGATCTGTGAGCCATGCTGCCAAATTATCAAACCTAGAGAGAGGGTTTTGGAAATCCCAATTCATAGCTAGAAGTATAGGTGACAATGTGGGGCATGAGATTGGTGCTGAAGTTGGGGTCAGTGTTGTGTGACTGAGCCCTTAACCTGCGGGATCTGATGCTATCTCTAGGTAAATAGTGTCAGAATTGAGTTAAATTTTAGCACACTCGGTGTCTGCTGGAGAATTGCTTGGTATAAGGAAAAACATTCTCGTATCTGATCACAGAAGTGTGTAGTGTGTTGAGTATGAGAGTAGAGTAGGAGAAAGCAGTCAGTTTATTTTTTCCTCCCATACACACAGGTAAAGGGACCTAAATGGAAGTAGTGTTTCAGTATGTCACTGAGTGATAAAATGTCAATATAGGATGCTGCAATAAAATATGTGTATATATTTTAACACCTAGAGCAACAACTTAAAAAAAACTATACAAAATGATTTATGCAAACACATATAAATAAAACACCAAGGTGACACCCTCAAAAATGTTCAAGTAACTCCTAGAAAGGCAAATAAAAAACAGATTAAAGAAATACTAAAATGGCAAACTTAAGCCCTGACATATCATTAATCACTTTAAATGTATACAGTCCAAATACACAAATTACAGTATAGATATTGTCAGAATACTCCCCTCCCACAAAAAACAAAAAACCATGGCCCTACTATATACTGTCTAAAAGAAACTAACTTCAAATATAACAACAGGTAGGTTTAAATTCAGGGAATGGAAAAATATATATTACACTAACATTAATTAATTGTAAAAAAATGGGAGTAGTGGCTCACTGTAAAAAAGTGGGAGTGGTGCCTGTAATCCCAGTGCTTTGGGGGGCCAAGATGAGAGAATCACTTGAGGTCAGGAGTTTGAGACTAGCCTGGGCAATATAGCCAGACCCCATCTCTTAAAAAATATATTTTTTCAATTAGCCGGGCATAGTGGCACAAGCCTGTTAGTCCTAGCTACTAGGGAGGCTGAGGTGGAAGGTTGTTTGGGCCCAGGAGTTCAAGGCTACAGTGAGCTATAATTGCACCACCGCAATCCAGCCTGGGTGACAGTGAGACCCTATTTCTAAATAAATAAATAAATAAATAAATAAATAAATAAATAAATAAACAAAAAACAGGGGTGACTATATTGATATCATATAAAATGAACTTCAAAGCAAAGAAAACATATTACACAATTATGAAACAATCAATCTGACAAAGCAATCTTAAATGTATATGCACCAAACAACAGAACTCCACAATTATAGTTTGGGAAATTCAGCACCCTGCTCTCAGCAATTAATATAACTACTTGACATAAAATTAGCAAATATATAGAAGAAATGAACAACACCATCAATCAACAAGATTTAACTGATATTTATAGAATATTCTATCCAGCAATAGTAGAACATACATTCTGTACAAGCCTCCAAAAAGCATTCGGCAAGATAGACAATAACCTGAATGATAAAACAAACCTCAATAAATTTAAAATAATTGAAATCATACAGAGATTTTCTTCAATCATAATGGAATCAAAATAGAAATCAATAACAGAATATAACAGGAATGTCTTCAAACACTTGGAAATTAAGTAACACACTTCTAAATAAATGAACAAACTTCTAAACCCATGAGTCAAAGGTGAAGTCTAAAAGTGTTGCAGGGGAGACACACAGAAATGAATTAAAATGAAAAAATACATCATTTTAAAGAAGGGTGTAGCTTAAGTAGTGCTGAGTGGGAAATTTATAACACTAAATGCTTGCGTTAGAAATTAGGAAAGCAAATTCAAATTTAAGTTCTTAGTTCAAGAAATTAGAAAAAGAAGAACAAAATAGATCCAAAGTAAGCAGAAAGTAGGAAATAATAAAAATAAGAGCAGAAATCAACAAATGTGAGAAAAAGAAAACAATACAGGAAATCAGACAGGGCAAAGTGGCTCACACCTGTAATCTCAGCACTTTAAGAGGCGGAGGAGGGAGAATTACTTGACCTCAGGAGGTCAAGGCTACAGTGAGCCACATGTGCACTACTATACTCCAGCCTGGGTGACAGTGTGAGACTCTGTCTCAAAAAAAAATAAGAAGAAGAATAAAAAAGAAAATAAAAGAAAATCAGTGAAACCAAAAGCTAGTTCTTCAAAAATAGAGAAACTGTAAAAATCACCGATATCACTATTCTGTATGATAGTGGATACATAAACTTACACATGTGTGACAAAATTGCATAGAACTAAATATGCACAAGTGAGTACAAGTCAAAATGGAGAAATTGGCATAAGAGCTATCAGTATCAATGGCAATATCCTTGTTGTAGATATTATACTACAGTTTTGCATAATGATATCATTGAAGGAAACTGGGTAAAGGATAAACAAGATCTCTGTCAGTTTTTACAACTGCACATTTGTCTACATTTATCTCAAAATAAAAAGGTTAATTTTAAAATGTTGAGGGTCAACAAGTTGGGCCAGTTTCATCTGAGCAGTTGGGGTCACTCATGCAGTTTCAGTCATCTGCTATATCACCTGGTGTTGAATGCTCCAAGATGGCCTTGTTTGCATTTCTGGTAGTTAGGGCTGGTGTTGACTGGGGCATTACATGGAGGTAGAGTTCCTAGAGGGCATATCCCACCACACAAGCACTTTTCAAGCCTCTGCTTACATCACATGCCCCATTGGCCAAAGCAAGTCACATGGCCATACTCAGAGTCATTATGGGAAAGCACTACACACGGGCATGTAACACAAGGAGGCATGATTCATTGGCAGCCATTTCTAAAATGATCTCCCACAAAGGGTGAGAATATTTTTCTTTCTTTTTCTTTTTTTTTTTTTTTTTTGAGGCAGAGTTTTGGTCTTGTTGCCCGGGCTGGAGTGCAATGGCGTGATCTCGGCTCACCACAACCTCTGCCTCCCAGGTTCAAGCGATTCTCCTACCTAAGCCCCCCCGAGTAGCTGGGATTACAGCCTTGCACTGCCACTCCCAGCTAATTTTGTATTTTTAGTAGAGATGGGTTTTCTCCATGTTGATCAGGCTGGTCTCGAACTTCTGACCTCAGGTAATTTGCCCACCTCGGCCTCCCAAAGTGCTGGGATTACAGGTGTGAGCCACTGTGCCTTGCTGAGAATATTTTTCAATAATATTTCTTTATGAACATCTATCACTTGGATCTGCTACATATTTTTCTTTTTCTTTCTTTCTTTTTTTTTTTTTTTTTTTGAGACCAAGTCTTGCTCTGTCACCCAGGCTGGAGTGCAGTGGCACAATCTCAGCTCACTGCAATCTCCACCTCCCAGGTTCAAGCAATTCTCCCTACCTTAGCCTCCTGAGTAGCTGGGATTACAGGTGCCCGCCATCACACCCAGCTAATTTTTGTATTTTTTAGTAGAGATGGGGTTTCTCCATGTTGGCCAGGCTGGTCTTGAACTCCCAACCTCAGGTGATCTGCCCGCCTTGGCCTCCCAAAGTGCTGGGATTACAGGCATGAGCCACCATGCCCGGCCTGCTCACATATTTTTGAACACCTTTCCACATTTAGATATTTCCCAGCCTTGGGAAACACCTTTCCCAGCTTCCCCTGTCAATGTGCTACACACACAGGACTTGGCTCTGCCAACCAGACACAAGTGTGAGGCTGAGAGATGACCTGTGAAGAAACAGGCAGGGCATTTGGGCATCCATTGTGTTGAAGCTGAGGCAATTGGAAATAGCATATTTCTGGAGGGGTGGCAACAACAGCTTCTCGACTGTGGCAGAGGTGGTGTGATTCAGGGCTTGGTGAGGGTGAGGGTGGTTTCCTGACCAGGATGAAGGAAGCCTCGTACAGAAGTCAGAGGCAGCCACATTTCCCTTGCCATTCTAGTTCTGTGGTGTGAGCTGGAAAGTTGTTGCTATAATCCCAGCCTATAGCTTATTCCTGTAGCCCTTTCAACATTTTGATGCATTTCTAGCAAATCCCAGTTCCTTAAATTAGCTAGAGTGGTGTGGGAAACCAAAATATGCCACCCCAAAATATACTTCTTTGGCATATTTCAAGTTGGTTATTTGGAAAAGCTGCAGATGGGAATAGCTCTGAAAAAGCTACCCTCCTGTAAAAGAAATTTACATCTATCTACATTAGTAAAGCAAACAGGAGATGCAGGCACAGGCTTTCTCTGAGGTTCTCTTATCCATATCTAGGAAAGAGTAACTCACAGGAAAATGAGACTGGTGGTCTGACACTTTTATCTTTGTTTATTTATTTATGTTAGTTAGGGTCTCACTTTCTCACCCAGGCTAGAGTGCAGGGGCATGACCATGGCTCCCTGCAACCTTGAACTCCTAGGCTCAAGCCATCCTTCCAACTCAGCCTCCTGAGTAGCTTGGATTATAGGCACATGGCACCAAACCCAGCTAATTTTCTTTTAATTGTTTTAGAGATGGAGTCTTGCTATGTTGCCCAGGCTAGTCTTGAACCTCTGGCCTCAAGCAATCCTCCCACCTCAGCCTCCCAAAGCAGTGGGATTACAGGTGTGAGCCACCATGCCCAGCCTGATACTTTTAAAGGTCTGACAGAGAAACCTTTACCACAGGCTGCCATCTATTTTGTTCTCAGGACTACTGTCTGAGAGATTTCATCTGCATAGTAAGACAGGCTTTGCTTGACTTGCCTTTCTTCCCTTCACCCTCCCATAACCTGTTACCACCTATCCCCAGGAGCCCCAAGCTCCTATTTCTTTCCATATGGTATAAGAACTTCAGTCATCTGGCTCTTCTTTGAGTCTCATATTTTGTATGGCTTCTGTGCATTTGCATGTAAATAAATTTATATGCCTTTTCTCCTATTAATCTGTCTATTGTCCATTTGTTTTACAGACCCAAATTATTGAACCTTCAGAAGCAGGGGGAAGAAAAATTCCCTTCACCCCTACAGTGGATTCTGTTGTCTGCAGGTGGTAACGCTGGTGGATAAAAATCTCTTTTTGAATTATCAGCTATATGTCGGTCTTGCCTATTCAAAAATAAACAAAAATGTAATTTAAAAATGAATAATGTAAAAGGGTGTGATCTAAATCTTCCCCAATCCCTGTTTAATGTCTGTCTCCCAAGCAGTCCCTCTCCCTCCTGACCTTGACCTCTCATTTTTCCCTGAAGCACAATCTTGAGCCCTGCTTGATCCGTATGAAACCGCTATTTTTGTTGGTCAAAATAGCCAAGAACTAGCAATTCCATAGTCTTCAACTTCACACTTGCCATTTGTATTAGTCTGTTCTCAAGCTGCTAATAAAGACATACTTGAGACTGGGTAATTTATAAAGAAAAGAGGTTTAATTGACTCACAGTTCCACATGGCTGATGAGGCCTCACACTCATGGCAGAAAGAAAATGAGGAGCGAAGTCACATCTTACGTGGTGACAGGTAAGAGAGCTTGTGCAGGGGAACTCCCATTTATAAAACCATCAGCTCTCATGAGACTTATTCACTACCGTGAGAACAGTAAGGAGGAAACTGACCCCATGATTCAATTATCTCTACCTGGTCCCTCTCACTGCACGTGGGAATTATGGGAGCTACAATTCAAGACGAGATTTGGGTGGGGACACAGCCAAACCATATCATCATTCTTTGGAATTTATCTTCCCTCAAAACTCCAGCTATTATTCATCTGCCAATTTTCAAGTCTTTACCAAGTTTCTATCCTATATAACTCTAATTTCCCATGGAACATTCTACTCATATGTGTCCTTGTCGCTTTAAAGAAAATGTATAGAAAATCAAATGTATCCTCTTTCCCACAAGTTAATATTCTCATTTGATGCCTCTAATCTATCCATGGCACTAACATTTGCTGTCACTCAGGCTTGACGAAGTGTGGATTCATTATGACTTTTACTTCTAAATGTCTCACTGTATACAGCAAGAAGTGGTGGTTAAGAGCTGAGACACAGGAGGCGGCCTGCCTGGGTGTGAATTTTGACTTGGCCATTTATTAGTGTATGTCCTTGGGCATGTTATTTAACCTGACTGTGCCTCAGCTTCCTCAACTGTAAAACAGGAATAACAATAGTGCTTAGTTCAGGAGGCACAAATGAGTTCAGATTTTTACAGACAGTTCCTGACTTATAGCTCAACTTAAGGTTTTTTATCTTTACAATGGCATGAAATCATTCAGTACACTCCTCAACTTTTGATGGGATTACAATTTCATAAACCTATCATAAATTGAAAATATTCTAAATCAAGCAACTTAAGATATTTTCAATTTATGATGGATTTATCGGGATATAACCTCATCTTAAATCAAGGAACATCTATATAGTATTCAGAACAGCACCTAGTATATAGTGGTTTTTTTAAATTTGTTTGTTTGTGATGAAGTTTTGCTCTTATTGCCCAGGCTGGAGTGCAATGGCTTGATCTCAGCTCACCGCAACCTCCGCCTCCCAGGTTCAAGCGATTCTCCTGCCTCAGCCTCCCAAGTAGCTGGGATTACAGGCATGTGCCACCACGCCCGGCTAATTTTGTATTTTAAGTAGTAACGGGGTTTCTCCATGTTGATCAGGCTAGTTTCGAACTCCTGACCTCAGATGATCTGCCCGCCTCAGCCTCCCAAAGTGCTGGGATTATAGGTGTGAGCCACCGCACCCAGCCAGAAAGCACTTTGGGAGGCCAAGGTGCACAGATCGCTTGAGCCCAGGATCTTGAGACCAGCCTGGGCAACATGGCAAAACCCTGACTCTACAAAAAAATACAAAAAATTAGCTGGGCTGAGAGGCGTGTGCCTGTAGTCCAAGCTACTTGGGAGGCTGAGGTACGAGAATCACCTGAACCTGGGAGATAGAGGCTGCTGTGAGCCATGATTGTGCCATTGCACTCCAGCCTGGGGGGCAGAGTGAGACCCTGTCTCAAACACACACACACACACACACACACACACACACACACACACAACCTCTTACACCTGCCTTGTCTTTTTCTTCCCAACACCATCACCTGCATCATTTTCATCTCCTTAAGGACCTCCTGAAGGTTTTCCCTGCTGCCAGTTCTCCCCTTTTCAGCCTCTTCCATTCACTGTTGCTACCACGTTGATTTTCCCAAATCACCGAGGGTATCCTATCTCATCCCCCACAGAAAGCTCCTTAATGCCAACAAAAGGAAGCCCCACCACAGGTCCACACTGATCGAACCCAGATGTCCTGCCCTCTCCACATTTCTGAGACTGGACCCGCCAAAACATTCCTTTCCTTCTCTAGCTCCCACGGCTCTACCCAGCTACTCATTTGCACTTTAACTGCTACACAGCAGGACTGTCCTTTAACTGTTAACATGTGTACATCTGCCTTCCTTGAACAGGCAGAAAGTTCTTGAAGGCTGGAGAGCTTATACCACCCATACCAGGCACAGAGTAGTGCTGGGTAAATAGCAACCAAGACGTAATTTTTTTCTGTATTCACACTTCCTTTTCAGCTTCCTGGTGGAGTCAGCTTGACAACATCTTTCTCTTTCCTACAACTGAAACTATAATTTTAAAACCAAGAGCAAGGGGCCAGTGTCGGAGATGGGTTCGTACCTTCTGAAAGACATCATGGTGGAAGGAAGAGTCCAGTTGCAGGCGTGAGAGGCTAAAGCACTTCCATTAACGAGCAGGGTGTCCAGTGAGGCTCATCTACCTCCTCTGAACTTCATTTCCGTGTCTGCAAATGAGGACATTAACAAAGCTCCCGGTCCCCCTCAGGCTTAAACGTTCTGTGACAAATCTCTAAGAGGGTGGATTCGGGAAACTAATTTTCAAATTAATTGAGCAGTGTGGAGTTATTGCACGGAGAATTAAACTGCTGTCCATAACAGTTCATTTCCTGAGTTTGTTTATCAACCACTGTTTAATAGGCACTATTTATTCTGCAGTATCATGGGTGGAGTGCTATGGAGACACAGAAGTTGTATCTCACCAGATCCATAGCTTCAAAAAGTTTATTATGTAATTAGAGTTTATTATATAATAAAAGCTCACCAAGCTCATGATCTGGCAAATGGCATTGTTTGTTTACCTAAGCCTTCTTTTGTAAAATAAGAAAGTTTTACTTGAATCATTATGTATAATACCCCTGGGAGCTGTGTGTTCTATGTGTCATTTCTATGTTATTTTATTTGAAATACACACACACACAGTATGTTTCAATGTAAACATATGCATTTAAAATGTATATTTTTAAATATCTCCATCAACAGGCTGATTTTTAAAACTTTTCAATATACCAAATAATGTAGATTTTCAAATATACACAAAAATAGAGAGAATTGTATTATGAACTCCATGTACTGATCACCTACCTTCAACAGCCATCAGCTTTCTGCCATTCTTTTTCAGCAGATCCCACCACCACCTCCCTCTGTGTGTGTGTGTGTGTGTGTGTGTGTGTGTGTGTGTGCGCCAAGACACTGCTCCTCAAGCTAAGGACTCTTTTGTTCAATTTCCGATCTGCCATGGACCAATACCAGCACACAGCTCACACCCAAGCCACACATAACACACTATGCAGGTTTGACAACACCCAAACTAAGTTCTATTCTCATTAGAGTCCACCACTCACTACTTGGATGCCATGGCAATGTCAAAGTACTATAGCCATTTCTAAATATTTGTTGTCAATTTCTGCACTTATTACAGACCAAGAGCACACAATTTGCAAACTGGCCCCAATCCTCAGACTTTGAGTAGTACTGCATGCGCTAGAGTATTTTAAAATAAAATCTACGGCATTATTTTATTGCAGCTGCAAATTCAGCATGTATCTCCAATGGATAAGTATGTTTTTGTTGTTGTTGCTCTGTCACCCAGGCCGGAGTGCAGTGGTGTGATCTTGGCTCACTGTAGCCTCTGCCTCCCAGGCTCAAGTGATCCTCCCACCTCAGCCTCCCGAGTAGCTGAGACTATAGGTATGCACCACCACACCCGGCTAATTTTTTTGTATTTTTGGTGGAGAAAGCATTTCACCATGTTGCCCAGGCTGGTCTGGAACCCATGAGCTCAAGCAATCTGCCCGCCTCGGCCTCCCAAAGTGCTGGGATTATAGGCATCAGCCATGGTGCCCAGCCTTGTACTTTTTAAAAACAACCAGAATATAATACTCCCAAGAAAATAATCAATAATTCCTGAACATCATCTACTATTTAGTCCATATTCAATTTTCCCCAGTTGTCTCAAAAATGCCTTCTTACAGTTGGTTTGTTTGAATCAGGATTCAAACAAGGATTTTGCATTTGGTTGACATACCTTTTAAGCCAAACTATAGTAGTCTCTCTCTCCTTTAAAAGCTGCTTTTAAGCCACTCTCCAAATAGATTGGTTTACCATTAACTATAAAAGGTTTCCTGACCCATATTGCTTCAAGCAGTTTTTCCATGCATTTGCTTTGTGCCACAGTGTGACTGTGGCTTAAAAACCAATTACTTCTTCCCCCTAAAAATGCCCATTATCTGTGCCTATTAGAGGCACATTTACATTCCCCAGACTTTTTGCCAGGGCACCAGAACTATTTAGATTACCATGTATTAAAAAAGTGCCAGTCACTCTCACTGTCTTATCACCTCTGGTTCTCTTTGTCTCCAATGGGCCCATTCATTGAGCAGATATCTGTGCATGTTGTTAAATGAACCATGGATGTTCTTGCCCTTGATGTACCAAAGCAGTGTTTACCAGGTACATTCATTTCTTCGGGGACCTATGCAGACATATAGTGGGCATAGTGGGAAAGTGAGGAACTGAATATGACTTGAGATACTCAAGTGATTTGATTTGGACCAGACCCATCTGTGGCTGTCACACAATGACATCTTTTTCCATACTCGTCACCACTAAGGCTACAGGAGCTCAGGTAGCTTTGGGTCTTCACTGGCCAACATTTTAGGAAGAATCATAGAAAAATCATAGAACAGAAAAATAATCTCAGCAACTATGCAGTCAAGCCCCCGAAGGGTTGGAGACAAAAGCCCCCACAGCTATCTAGATGCCTCCTGGACAAGGGCCCAGGTCTCTGACCTCCAGAGGAAGCTCTGTGTATATGGGATATCAATTTCTATGCCACTCAGGGTTCTCAGTTGCACATAACAGAAGAGGATTCTGGCTGACTTTAATAGAAGGATAGTAGGTGGCTAATAGAATTGACAGGATGGGTAACCAGGTTTTGAAATCAGGCAGGCTCTGAGGGAGGCCAGGCAGCAAGGACACAGCCTAGGCCATGCTTCAGGGGCAGTCTGGGTAGGATGTCCCTAACTGTGGCTCTGCTGCCACTCTGGCTGCTGGACATCAACACAACTGAACACAGGAGCCAGATGCTGCGGCTGCTTGAAATTCTAAACTATCCCTGAGTCTAAATTAAAAGTCCTGGTGTAGGCAAAAGAAAGAGAGATCAGACGGCTGCTGTGTCTATGTAGAAAGGGAAGACATAAGAAACTCCATTTTGACCTGTACCCTGAACAATTGCTTTGCCCTGAGATGCTGTTAATCTGTAACTTTGCCCCAACCTTGAGCTCAGAGAAACATGTGTTATATGGAATCAAGGTTTGAGGGATCTAGGGCTGTACAGGATGTGTCTTGTTAACAAAATGTTTACAGGCAGTATGCTTGGTAAAAGTCATCCCCATTCTCCAGTCTCGATAAGCCAGAGGCACAATGCACTGCGGAAAGCCGCAGGGACCTCTGCCCTGGAAAGCCGGGTATTGTCCAAGGTTTCTCCCCATATGATGGTCTGAAATATGGCCTTGTGGGATGGGAAAGACCTGACTGTCCCCCAGCCTGACACCCGTGAAGGGTCTGTGCTGAGGAGGATTAGTAAAAGAGGAAAGCCTCTTGCAGTTGAGAAAGAGGAAGGCCACCGTCTCCTGCCTGCCCCTGGGAACCGAATATCTCGGTATAAAACCCGATTGTACATTTATTCTATTCTGAGATAGGAGAAAAACCGCCCTGTGGCGGGAGGCGAGACATGTTGGCAGCAACGCTGCTCTGTTATTCTTTACTCCACTGAGATATTTGGGTGGAGAAAAGCATAAATCTGGCTTACATGCACATCCAGGCATAGTACCTCCACTTGAACTTATTTGTGATACAGATTCCTTTGCTCACATGTTTTCTTGCTGATCTTCTCACTATTATCACCCTGCTCTCCTACCGCATTCCTCTTGCTGAGATAGTGAAAATAGTAATCAATAAAAACTGAGGGAACTCAGAGACCGGTGCTGGTGCTGGTCCTCTGTATGCTGAGCGCCGGTCCCCTGGGCCCACTGTTCTTTCTCTATACTTTGTGTCTTATTTCTTTTCTCAGTCTCTCGTCCCACTTGACAAGATATACCCACAGGTGTGGAGGGGCAGGCCACCCCTTCATCCTGGGTGGGAGCATTTGATTTGCTGAGACTAGATAATATGACTGTCCTCTAGTGGCCAGGGACCAGCAAAAGGGCATCTGGCTCCGCTCCTTTCTATAGTGGGAAGTAGATCCTGCCTGCCTTCATGACCACATCACAGAGGGAAGGGCATTAGGATGCTAAGTAACCCCTACAACCGCAAATGACTATTTCACCTCCCCATTTGGACTTCTGTGAGCATATAGACATCACCAACAGTTTTGTTTTCGTTTTGCTTTTCTTGAGACAGGGTCTCACTCTGTCACCCAGGCTGGAGTGCAGTGGCATTATCATGTCTCACTGCAGCCTCTGACCTCCTGGGAACAAGCAATCCTCTAGCCTCAGCCTCCTGAGTACCTGGGACTGCACGCATGAGCCATTATGCTTGGCTAGTTTTTTATTTTTTAATTTCTTGTAGAGACGAGCTCTTGCAATGTTGCCCAGCCTGGTCTTGAACTCCTGGGCTCAAGCAATTCTCCTACCTTGGCCTCCCAAAATTCTAGGATTAGAGGCATGAGCCACTGTGCCTGGCAGTTACTTTATTTCTACAAAACATGGAGGCATTTCCTATCACTCCTCAAATGAGTTACACCCCCCACAAAAAGCACTGTTCTAAGTGCTGAGTTTGCAAAGGCTTTAACCTCACTGAAGGGGAAAGAATTTCTTCTTCTGTCTCGCTAGTTCACTGATTGCCTCCTTCTGGCCCAATGTCTGGGGGAAAACCAAAGATCAATGTGTCCACTTGACTTTTGCTCAGATGCTTAGTGTGCAGTTAGCTTCCAGGAGCATGGAAACTTCTTCTCCAAGGGTTCCATTAGTGATTAGACGTGCACTTTAAAGTATGTCATGCTGCCACGTATCAGACTGGGACAGAGATGAACTGGAACATGAGAGATGTGTTGAGGTGACAGCCAGGATTCTGCCATTGTTCTTTCAGTGTATTTCTGATGCCTCTCAAATTCCATAAGGGGAGGTGTTGATGTCTGTGGTTAAGTAACATGAGGCCAGAGCTGACGCTGTGGCAGCTGCTCCCAAAGGCACAGAGTTTCTTCGTTGCCAGGAAAAGATGCCCTTGAATTTTCTGGGCTGAGGTAAGAAAGTTTGGCAGATCCTGCCTTCTCTGCTTTCTGTTTGCCTTAATGGATATCAAGATAGAAAATAAGGAGCCAGAAGGACCTTCAGAGAATCTATTCACGGCCTGTGTGTCTTAGGCTCCCCCCAGAAATAGACTCTCCGGCACAAATTCAAGTGCAAGTAGTTTATTTGAGTGGGAAAGCAAGGAACTGAGACAGGAGAGGGAAAGAAGCAGTAAAAGGTACATTATCAAGCAAGTTACCACTGTGGGCATCTGGAACTTAAGCCTACTGGAGCCAGTGCAGATTGTAAGCTTCAAAGTTATCCTGCAAAAGGAGTAAGGCAGCTAGGGTATTTAAACACCAGTCCCCATCCATCTTTGATTGAAGGCTGAAACTGGGAGGGCACTAATTTCCAAGTGCTTCCAGCTTGCTGTGTGAATGGGCAAAGCAAGCTCTGGCCACCAGACAAAGCCCTCGGGCAAAGAGGCAGATGCTGGCAGTTGAAAGTCAGGTGCTGTGGCACAAAATGCTAAGGCCCGAGGGGGCATGGGCAGGGCACCCAAAACATCTGCTGTACTGTGTCCACTCTCATCCTCCAGACTTGTGGACAAACTTCCTGTTCATCATTCATTCAAAGCCCAGCATAAATCTTCCCAGAATCATCCGGGCGTGGTAGCTCACGCCTGTAATCCCAGCACTTTGGGAGGCCAAGGCAGGCGAATCACCTGAGGTCGGGAGTTCAAGACGAGCCTGACCAACATGGAGAAACCCTGTCTCTACTAAAAACACAAAATTAGCCTGGCTTGGTGGTGCATGCCTGTAATCCCAGCTACTCAGGAGGCTGAGGCAGGAGAATCACTTGAACCCGGGAGGCAGAGGTTGTGGTGAGCCAATATCGCACCATCGCACTCCAGCCTGGGCAACAAACTCCGTCTCAAAAAAAAAAAAAAAATTCTTCCCAGAATCAATCAGGAGGTGCACATCCTCCACCAGATTCCTAATTGGTACAGGTGGTTTATTTCACTATTTACTGCTCAATAACTCTCTACCCGTGTTGCAGAGTCACTCAGGTTTAATCTTCTTTCAACCCTGCCAGAAAACTCATCAGCAGCCCACAGACCCTGACCACAGCCCTGGCATAACTGAATAAATGCTGACTAATTGACTAACTCTCATTTCCTTCTATTCAGCAAATGTCCTGGATATTTGGAAATGCCACAGTTCACAGCCAATGCACTTTCAGCAGGTCCTGAAAAATGATTTGGAGAGGTTTACAATTTGCTAAATGTGTTGAGTCTGGGATTGGTAGAGAACCATGACCTTGGGAGAATAGAATGTTTCTCTTCTCTGGGACATAGGTCGGGTTCCTTCGGGACTATGGATAGAATTTGCTTAAACTGTGGGTCAGCTAGTTGTGAGTTGGCAACTTGGGGATGTCTGTGAGAGGCTGGGATTGTGGGGAAAGCAGAAACACTTGCTTAGTTTTGTCTGGTGTGCGAATATCCTACTAAGATTTACTGAAGGAATAGAAAGACCATCTGAGGTTTCCCATGTGATCTTATATTAATGAAGGGATATCTTTGAGTCTCATGTCTTGCTGGTTTTCATCATTCATTTTTTTTTCTTTTTCACCCTGAGTATCAGCCTTTAATAGAAATTGTGATATCTCAGGATCAGGTGGTTACATCAAAAAGAACCTTAATAGGTCACCTGGGCAGTCTCTCAGTCTCCAGGCTATACCGTGCTTAAACTATTCCTAACAGGACGCTGCTTATCCACCGTCTGGAAATTTTTCCAAAAGTGGGGTCAGGCTGGGTGCAGTGGCTCACTCCAGACCGACCAGCCTGGCCAACATGATGAAACCCCATCTCTACTAAAAATACAAAAATTAGCCCGGCTGGTCTGGCTACTCGGGAGGCTGAGGCAGGAGAATCGCTTGAACCCAGGAGGCAGAGGTTGCAGTGAGCCGAGATCTCGCCATTGCACTCCAGCCTGGGAGCAGAGCGAGACTCCATCTCAAAACAAAACAAAACAAGACAAAACAAAAGGGGGTCAAAGAAATGCCATCTGCATTATCAGCACATATAGTTTTCTGCCCAGATCATAAAGTTTATAACATCTGCCTTATTTATATCAAATATGTCATCTATGTCAATGTTTACAGCTATATCATTTATCTATAGGCTGTATCTTATAACATCATTTGCCTCTATATTTACACATACTCTGCCTACATCTGTGTTCACAGCTTTATCATCTACAGCTACATTTTCATCTTTACTATCTACATCACCTATACCTATGCTTATATTACATCATTATCTACATCAACATTTTTATCTACACCTTCTGTACCAGTGGTTCTCAACTGGAGAAACTTTGCCCAGGGACATTTGGCAACTTCCAGAAAGACTTCTTATTGTTACAACTCAGGGTTGGGGGAAGAAATGCCCTCAGCATCTAGGCCAGAGATGCTGCTAAATCCCAGGGATACTGCTAAATCCTGCAATGCACAGGACAGTCCTTGACAACAAAGATATATCCGGCCTAAAATATCAATAGTGTTGAGGTTAAGAAACTCTAATCTACATCACCTACCTCATCTGCATCCATATTTACAGCTATGCCATGCACATCTGCATCTATATTTGCATCTACTCTATCTAAATCTGTGTATATATCTACACCATCTACTCTACATTGGCATCTACGTAGTCGACAGCTACCTCTACAGCATCTACAATATCTATGTCAACTACATCGACGTCATCCACTCCATGTACATCATCCACATCTACGGGATCTAAACTTTGCATGCACATCTATATCTAATTATATAGATGATATAACAATCAACACATGCTTGTTATATCAAAATGAGTGGTCCTTTTAGACTAGAAAGCAAATCTAATTTTAATTTTTCCCTCCACTGGCCACACACATAAAACGTGAGTGGAACAGATCCTTACCTGGCAGGGGAGATACCATGATCATGAAGGTGGTTTTCCCAGGGTGAGGTTCCACTGCACTCCAGAGGTGCTGATCCTGTGATTTCCCCAAATGTGGGAAACGCAACTGCATAATTTGTGGCAGTGGGAACTATGTTCTCACTATCCCCTGTTTTTGTTGTTGTTGTTGTTGTTTGTTTTTTGTTTTTTTTGAGACGGAGTCTCACTCTATCACCCAGGCTGGAGTTCAGTGGTGCAACCTCGGCTCACTGCAAGCTCCGCCTCCCGGGTTCACGCCATTCTCCTGCCTCAGCCTCCCGAGTAGCTGAGACTACAGGCAGCCGCCACCATGCCCGACTAATTATTTTGTTTTTTTTTTTTTTTTAGTAGAGAAGGGGTTTCACCGTGTTAGCCAGGATGGTCTCGATCTCCTGACCTCGTGATCCACCCACCTCGGCCTCCCAAAGTGCTGGGATTGCAGGCATGAGCCACCGCGCCCAGCTCTCCCACTTTTTTAAAAAAGGGAGTAGAACAGAGGCCAATCATTGTCTATTATACTCCTTAAAGTATAAGAGGCATGAGCTGTTTTCCAACTTTGTCCTTGCTAGCAAACACCTCAATATTGTTGGTTTATGGGCTTTGATAAGCAACGAAGGAGGCTTCCATTTTGATTTGGGTCGAAGTGAGAAGTTAAACACGTGCCTGATAAATTTCATTCCTGCTCTGTCTTTGCTTGCCAGCATCCCGGGATGAGAGGGCATCAGATGCAGAGACACTTGTGTCACAATTCATCACAATGGTGATAAAGAATAGTTTCTTCTCAGAAGAGCGATCACTGCACTTAGAGAACCTGATATGGTTGATCACATCTTGTTCCACCGGAACTGGTCTGGGCTGGAAAACACGCAGTTGACACATGGGAAGCCGCAGATGCTGCTATTTCACCCTGGGCTCTTTGGGCCTCAGAATAGTAAAAGACATCTGATTCCATGACCAAAACAGCAGCTCGGGTTGCCACGTTCAGTTAAGCTTCCTTAGGTACATGAGCTGATTTGTCAGCCAAGATAAAAGTCAAGTGATGTTTCTAGATGAAATTGAGAACACGGGAGATAGACAAACAAGAGCAAATCCCTGTGGCTTCTTTAGCCTGTGACATTTACTCAATAACTTCGCTTCCTGGTAGAAACCCATGCCTCCTGGAGACCATTATTTTTCCTCCAGGAACAAGATTGGCCTGAGGCAAAGTTTCAAAACAGACTCTTACTCACCTTTTTATATTCTCATTTTTTGTAGTGTTTTCAAATTCTCAATAAATATTAATACTAATACCTAGAACTTGGAAATGAGAAATCGGAAGTTATTTACTCATTATTCTGGATTTAACATTTTTTGTTTGTTTGTTTGTTTTGAGACTGAGTCTGGCTCTCTAGCCCAGCCTGGAGTGCGGTGGCACCATCTCGGCTCACTGCAACCTCCGCCTCCTGGGTTCAAGCAAGTCTTGTGCCTCAGCCTCCCGAGTAGCTAGGATTACAGGTGCCCCCTACCACGCTCGGCTAATTTTTGTATTTTTAGTAGAGACAGGGTTTCACCATGTTGACCAGTCTGGTCTGAAAGTCCTGGCCTCCAGTGATCCACCTGCCTCGCCCTCCCAAAGTGCTGAGATTACAGGCATGAGCCACCGTGCCTGCCTAGATTTAACTTATTTTAATAAATAAGAAATATTCTGTCTAGTAGTATTTACAAAGAACTATAACCTATTGCAAATATCCAAACCTTGTCAAAGGCTAGCAAACATTACTAAGTAGTTTTTGAATCAAATCTAGCCCAGCAAAGTTAACAGCATTACATAGAAATCGCAATTCAAAATCATCAATTTATAGATTTTTTTGCTTCCAAAAGTTGTTATTTCTTGGAACATCACTCTTAGGGTCTGTGTAAAGTATGCTATAAAAAGTGCAAAGTTCTTTTTTCAATTTTATTTTTAAAACTTTCTCTTTGTTTTTTTGAGATGGAGTCTCTTTCTGTCACCCAGGCTGGAGTGCAGTGGCACAATCTCGGCTCACTGCAACCTCTGCCTCCTGTGTTCAAGTGATTCTCCTGCCTCAGCCTCCTGAGTAGCTGGGACTACAGGCACCCGCCATCATGCCCAGCTAATTTTTATACTTTTAGTAGAGACAGCGTTTCACCATGTTGGCCAGGCTGGTCTCAAACTCCTGGCCTCAGGTGATCCACCTGCCTCAGCCTCCCAAAGTGCTTGGAATACAGGTGTGAGCCACTGCACCTGACCTAAAAAGTGTAAAGTTCTTAATATTTATTTTATTTGCAAAAACGCCTCCCAGTTAGCAGCAGACAGGGCCAGGAACACATGCTTGTAACATGGTATCAGTTATAAGCAAGGCAGACTGATCAGCCCATGGCACCTTCTCTACATGTGCTCCCTGCCTTGCTCTCAGAAACGTTGACCTCAACCTTCAACTGCTATGTCAGTTGATCTTGCCTTCAGTGGATCCCTCGATGAATCTCTCAAACCACTGGGGCCTCTGCTGATTGTTAAGCTTTAATTCTCGCAGAATTGCAATACATTTTTTCCATTTTCTCAACTGATTTGTCTCAGAATTTGGGATGTAGAAGAGTATATAAATTGTCCAGAAATGCTGGGAAGGAATTTTCTCATGGCCACACTACTCATCACGTCATCAGTGGGGACTCCCTCTTTCCTGGCCTGTTGCTCTGACCACCCAAACTTCCCTTCTACCTGGTCCGTCTCGGCTTACCCTTTTCCCTTAATCATTTAAGCTTCAAGGATACACACTCCCTACCAGAAAAACTCCAGGATTCTCCAGGCTGGACTTTAGACTTGAAGAGAACAGCAATCCAACTGAACTATTTCACCCTGAAGTATGAATAACTAATATGCCTTCTGTAGGAATTAGAAGCATAATCAAAATAACAAATATTTCTGCAAGTATGGGAAAAATAGTCCAACAAAGCATTCCCTTCAGCGATAGCAGAAGCAAAGGTTTTCAAGGGCCACCTAGATGATAAACTGTGGGCACTGGGCTGGATGTGAGACCGTAAAGAGTGGTGGAGACAGAGTGTGGTCAAACTTCAACTAAAGGCGTTTGAATTCAAATGTTTAAGACAACCAACCAGTAAGAGCCAAACATAACTCACTTTAGTGACAGCCAAGCTTGGCCCTCAGGCTACTAGTTTTTTATCTCTCTGTTGAATACTCCAGTGAGATATGGGCCTAATGGAAGCCAATTCTTGTTGCTAAGCCAACTTCAGATCCCAGAGAGTTAGAATCACAGATTAAAACGTTCTAACCACCATAATTAAAAAAAAAAAAACCAAATAGGTAAAATGTCATCATTTTTAATGTTAGACTTTTAATAAATTTAGTAATTAGATGAGAAAAATCATGTCCCATATGTAGGCTACGTATTTGTAAACAAGGTAAGGTGAGGAATTCAGAAAATTATAATTACATGCTCCTCCCATTTAACTAGTGCACATACGTTAGAAATGTTCCCTTATATTACATAATTGGTTGATCACCCTTATCCGTATACAAATTCAAATGAAATCCTAATGGTAAAATGAGAGCATAGCTCACTGCACTACAGCCTTGAACTCCTGGGCTAAGCCATCATTCTGCCTCAGCCTCCCGAGTAGCTGGGACTATACATAGGCATGCACCACTGTGCCTGGCTAGTCACTGGCTTTTTATCCATTAAATATATCCTGAATGCAGTGCAATACTCACCACAGTAGCTTGATGTGATTCTTCCCTTTTAACTCTGTTGGAAACATTTTCACAGTCGAAGTTTGTCTTATGTGTACAAATGTGCACAATGTTGTCTCCCTGTGGCCTGCTGTTCTAGTAACCAGATTTTTATTCCCTTAACTGTGACATTTGACTGCAATGCTGCATAAAAGGCACCATTTGGGGGGAGAAAAGATTTTAATCAACATATACCTCAGCTGCTCTATCTCTTCTTAACATGATGGTGGGTTTCCTCCAATACAAAGGGTCTCAGTTCCCCTATAGAATTTTTCTTAGCATGTCTGTGATTACTTGAAGTGTTATTCGTTAATGACTTCCAAATCTTTCTACCAGGTTAAGGTGATCTTTGCAATGCCAAAGATATTGAACTCTACTTGGGCCCTAAAATCTCATTGTCCTTCTTCCTTGATGTAGACATTGAAGATTTTAATATCTCATTTCCATCTCCATCACTTGAGATTGTTGAGATGGTTCTTGCCCACCTGGGACAGAACATCAGCCAGGCAGAGGAAGGAATGTGAGCATTAAAAGCCAACAAGGCTGTTTCAAATCAGAGTTCTGTCATAAATAGCTGTGTCACCTTGAGCAAATTGCTTTTTTTTTTCTTTTTTTGAGATGGGGTTTCACTCTTGTTGCCTAGACTGAAGTGCAATGGCACAATCTCGGCTCACTGCAACCTCTGCCTCCCAGGTTCAAGTGATTCTCCTGCTTCAGCCTCCCGAGTAGCTGGGATTACAGCTGCCTGCCACCACACTCAGCTATTTTTTTTTTTTTTTTTTGTATTTTTAGTAGAGACAGGGTTTCACCATGTTGACCAGGCTGGTCTCGAACTCCTGACCTCAGGTTATCCACCTGCCTCGACTCACAAAGTGCTGGGATTACAGGCGTGAGCCACCATGCCCAACCTGCTTAACGTCTCTTAACTGTGCTGTTTTTATCTTCAGGACGAGCATAATGAACTCTGCCTCATGGGAGTATTTTAAGGATTCACAGAAATGATGTTTAAGATGCAGGAAGCACATCATAGGAATGGAGGAGGCTTATAGAAGCCCTCAATACATGGGAACGGCTCTTATCCTTCCCCATCCATTGCCCATCCCTTCTACATCCCCACCTCTTTTTCCTTATTCATCCAATTCTGTGTCGGTTTCCTTGGGCTGCAGTAACAAACTATCACAAACTTGGTGGCTTAAAACTTATTCTCTCACGGTTCTGAAGCTAGAGGTCTGAAATCAAGAATCGAGGTTTCACCAGGACTGTGTTCTCTCTGAATCCTACAGGGAAGCATCCTTCCTTGCTTCTTCCCAGTTTCGGATGGTTGACAGCAATCTTCTGCATTCCTTGGCTTGTATTAGGTTGGCGCAAAACCAATTGCGGTTGTTGCCATTAAAAGTAATGGCAATTGGTTTTGCACCAACCTAATTGCTACATATCTCCATGTGTCCCTCTTCACATGACATTCTTTCCTGGGTTTCCTCTGCTTCTCTGTATCCAAATCTCCCTCTTCATATAAAAACACCAGTTGTTGAATTTAAGGTCTTGATTCAGTATAACCTCACCTTAACTAGTGACCTCTGCAAGGACTCTATTTCTAACATAAGATCACATTCTAAGGGTCCAGATTAACTTGAATTTTGGGGGGATTCTATTCCACCCAGTATCTTCACTTTGGGATGTTCAAGTCTTGCCCACCAGGAAGGCCCAGATCAGATTCCATCACCTAGGTGTATTGTCCCTAACTGACAGCTGCTATGACTATCCCATGGTATAAACCATGGGAACACATCTGTCCTATGCCCAGCGGTGCACTGGTAAATGTTTAGCAAACAGCTCCACTGAGTAGGTGCTGGCAGGGAAACCCTGATATATATGCAGCTGGTTTATGTGCTGTATTCTCCCACCATGGCCAAGTTCAAGCTACCAACATGATGTTAATCAACTCTTGAAGTTTCTGAAAATTTAGCAATCAGCTCTCTCAAGCTAGTATGAGGCAACTCAAAGATGAGTGGCACACTTCCTGTAACTACTGTTTTGTCTTTAATGTTACTCATCATCCTATGAAATAATAAGCTTCTCTGACATATATTTACTTACGAGCCAGTTAAAAATCATCTCCAGTGGAAGCCTTGAGGGCCTCTGCCAACCTTTGAAATATCTAGTGGCCCAATTTTGTATTTTGTATTTTCCTCCAAAGAAGCACTCATAATCCTGTATTATAATAATGTATTTGCTTCTTTGAATTCTTGACAGGCTCACTGAGGGCAGTTACTGTGTGTCCTAGTTGTCCCTGAATCCCAACAACTTGCACAATGTCAGACTCTCTGCAGGAGCTCACTTGTCAAATTGAATTGATCGAAAGGATCAGGGTCCGGTCAATGTCTTGTTTTGTCTTCCACAGTGTCATGCACATAGTAGGCACTCAGTACACCTTTCCCCAAATCACACTATATCATAATTTTGGCCCCAAGAGTAGACCACCCACCCTCATGCTGTTTGAATGCCCTCCCTAATAGTGGTTCCCATACCTGGTTGTGCATCATTCATTCATGCACATGCAATATGCATATTGTTGAATGAATGAACGAAGCACAGCCAGATATGGGAACCGTCATAGCAGCCACTATGAGCCAGGTACTGTTCTAGGTGCTTGGAATAGAGGACACAATGAAACAGGCGAAAACTCCTGCCCTCATGGAGCTTAGACTCTAGTGGGAGAGATAGGAAACAAACAATTAAAACATACATGGTGTTTTACTGGTGTGGTAAGTGCTTAGGAGAACAATGGAACAGAAGAAAGGATAGAGCATGCTGGCAAAGGGAGAGGGAGAAAATCTCAGAAGGCCACACCGAAAGGTGGCATTGAAGGAAATCCCTGAAGGAGGGAGGGAAGGAGGATGAGAATCTCTGGCCCTGGATGAGGGCACAGTGAGTGCAAAGGACCTGAGACAGAAGAATACTTGGCATGTCTAAGGAACAGCACAGAGGCAAGTGTTCCTGGAGAAGAGTACATGAGGGGGAAAGCAGGAGACATGAGAGACATACTGAGAGCTGAATTGTAAAGGGCTGGTAGCCACTGTAAAGACTCTGTCTCATGAATGACACGAGAGCTGTTGAGGGCATTTTCAGAAGAGGAATGACATGACTTGACTAAAGACATTAGTGTACTCTGTTTAGATATTATATGGAGGAAGGATTGTAAAGAGACAAGGACAGAAGTAGGAAGACCACTGAGGAGGCCGTTCATTGTGTAGGTGAGGGTTGATGATGACCTGTGGCAGTGGTGGTAGTCAATGGAGGTGGAAATCAGTGGCCAGATTCTGGATATATTTTAAAGGTTGAGTCCACAGGATTCTTAAAAAGATTAGCTATTGGATATGAGAGGACAGAGGAGTTAAGAATGACTCCAAGGTTTGTGGCTGAGCACCTGAAATTATGGAGACACCATTTACTGGGATGAGGAAGTCTAAGGGAACAGCACATTCACATGGGAATATCAAGAGTTTAGTGTCGGACAGGTGAGGTCTGAAATGGATATGCAACATCTAAGTATAGATGTCAGGTAGGCAATTGCATATTTGAGCCAGAATTCAGAAGAGCAATTGGAATTGGAGTTATAAATCTTGAAGATGTCACCTAATTAATGATGATACTTAAAATCAAGAGTCTGGATGAGAGCACCAAGAAGGAAGAATGGATAGAGAAGAGAAGAAGTCCAGTGCTGAGGTTTGGGACACTCTGATGTTTAGAGATTTGGGGAATGAGGAGACAACAAAAGAACCTGAAATGAAGAGCTCAGAGAAACAGGTGAGTGCAGTGTCTCAGGAACTAAGTAAAAAAAGGATTTCAAGGTGGAGAGAATGATCAGCTGTGTCATAGGCTACTGATAGGGCAGGCAAGGTGACTACAGGGCAATATTATGAGTAAATGTATGCCAACAAATAAGAAAACAGATGAAATGGACAAATTCAAAGAAAAACAAAAACTACTTAACTGGACTCAAGAAGAAATAGAAAACCTAGGCTGCATATGGTGGCTCATGCCTGTAATATCAGTACTTTGGGAGGCTGAGGTGGGCAGATCACTTGGGCTGAAAGGTTCGAGACCAGCCTGGACAAGAAGCAAAACCCTGTCTCTACAAAAAAAAAAAAAGCAAAAATTAGCTGGGCATGGTGATGCATGCTTGTGGTCCCAGCTCCTTGGGATGTTGAGGTGACAGAATCACTTGAGGCCAGGAGGTTGAGACTGCAGTAAGCAGTGATCATACCACTGTAATCCAATCTGGGTGACAGGATGAGACTGTCTCAAAACAAAAAAAAAAAAAAAAAGGGAAGAAGAAGAAATAGAAAATCCAAACAGATCTATACCAAGTAAAGAATAGTCAATTAGTAATTTTAAAACTTTCCCCAAAGGAAAGCCTAGTTTCAGATAGCTTCATGGGTGAATTCTATCAAACATTTAAAGTAAAATTAAGATGAATCATTTACAAACTCTTTCAAAAAAAAAAAAAGAAGAAGGAAACACAGTGAAGAAGAAGAGGAACACTTCCCAACCCTGTCAGGCCAGTGATAACCTAATACCAAAACCAGACAATGCCAATGTACCTTATGATACACATGCAAAAAGCTTAAGCAAAGTACTAGCAAACTGAAGCCAACAATATATAAAAGGCATTAGATGTCATTAACAAGTGGGATTTATCCCACATATGCAGGGCTCATTCATTATTTAAAAATCTTCCAGCATGATATACCTTATTAAGAGAATAAAAGGAAAAAAACTACCATGTGGTCATCTCATAGATACTGAAAAAGCATTTGACAAAATCTAACAGTCTTTTGTGATTTAAAAAAAAAAGTCAACAAACTAGAAATCTAAGGAAATTTTCTTGACCTGACAAAGGACTACTATAAAAAGCCCATGGCTAACACCATACTTAATAGTAAAATACTGAAAGCTTTCCCCCTGAGATCAGGAACAAAACAAAAATAAGACAAAAATATCCACTCTTGCCATTTTTGTTAAGCAGTTTACTGGCAGCACTACATAGGCTAATTAGACCAGAAAAATAAATGAAAGGCATCCAGGTTGGAAAGAAAGAAGTAAAAATATACCTATTTGCATATGACACAATTCTGTATATAGAAAATCCTAAGAAATGCAAACACACACGCTGACACACACACACACAACTATCAGAACTGATAAGTTCTAGTTCAGAAAGGTTGCAAGAAACAAGAAGAATACACAAAAGTCAATTGCATTTCTATATACTAGCAATGAAAGGAAATTAAGAAAACAACTTCATTTACAATAACATCAAAAAAAAAACACTTAAAAATAAATTTAACAAAAGAAATGCAAGACTTCTACACTGGAAACTACAAAACCTTGTTAAATTAGATGATACCTGAATAAATGGAAAGGCATCCTGTGTTAATGGATCATATGACTTAATATTGCTTAGATTGCAGTGTTCCCCAAACTGATCTACAGTTACAATGCAATCACTATTAAAATCCCGTTTTTTTTTTCAGTAATAGGCAAACTGATCCTAAAATTTGTATGGAGATTCAAGGGGTCCAGAATAGCCAAAATAGTCTTGGAAAAAAAAAAAAAAGAACAAAGTTGAATGACTCACACTTACTACAAAGCTACTGTAAATAAGATTGTGTGGTACTGGCATAAGAATAGACATATAGGTCAACAGAATAGAATTGGAATACAAAAATAAAAACATACATTTATGTAAAATTGGTACAAGGGTGACAAGACAATTCAAGGGGGAAAGAATATTCTTTTCAACAATAATGCTGACTCATCTGGATATCCATATGCAAAAGAATGAAGTTGTATCCCTACCTTACATCACATACAAAATGAACTCAAAATGGATCATAGACATAAACATAAGACCTCAAAGTATAAAACTCTTAGAAGAAAACATAGGAGAAAATCTCGAGCCTTAGACTAAGCAATGATTTCTTAGATATAAAACCTAAAGCAAAAGCAACCAAGGAAAAAGTAGATAAATCGGGTGGCATCAAAAGTTAAAACTTTTGTGCTTCAAAGTACACCATGAAAAAATTGAAAAGACAACCAGAAAGTGGGAGAAAATATTTGCAAATCGTATATCAGATTAGAGACATATACAAAAGATATAAAACAATTCACAACTTAGCAATAAAAAGACAAATAACTCAATTTAAAAATGACAAAAGGATTTGAATATATATTTTTTTCAGAGAAGATATACTAATGGCCAATAAGCATGTGAAAAGATGCAAATATTATTAGCTATTAGAGAATTACAAATCACCATGAGATATAATTTCATATCCATTAGAATGGCTATAATCAAAAGGACAGACAAGAATAATTAGTGAGGATATAATGAAATTGGACCCCTCATATGCTGTTGATGGGACTATAAAATGGTGCAGCCACTGTAATAAACACTTTGGCAGTTCCTTAAAAAGTTAAACATACAAGTTAGCATATGACCTGGCAATTCCACTCCCAAGTATACACTCAAGAGAAATGAAAACATATGTTGCCCCAAAAGTTGTACACAAACATTTATAACAGCATCATTCAAAATAGCCCCAAAGTAGAAACAACCCAAATGTCCATCAACAGATGAATGGGTAAACAAAATGTGGTATATCCACATAATGAAACAGTACTCAGCTATGAAAAGAAATGAAGTACTGATACATGCTGCAACTGGCATGAATATTGAAAATACTATTTTAAGTGAAAGAAGCCAGACACAAACAGCCACATATTATATGATTATATAAAATGTCCAGAATAGGCAAATCAATAGAGACAGAAATACATCAGCGGTTGCCAGGAGCTGAGGGAGGGGGAATAGGGAGTAACTACTTATAAATACGGAGTTTCTTGCTGGGATGATGAAAAGCTTTTTGAAATTAGACAGTGACTATGGTTGTATAACTGTACATAGATACTAAAGTACTGAATTTTACACTTTAAAGGGAAGTATTTCATTGTGTATAAATTACATGTCAATGAAGCTGCTATTGTTTTGAAATCGCAATAGCAGCTGCCATGTCTTGAATGCCACCGTGTGCCAGGCACAGTAGTAGGGGGTTACAAAAACTAGCTCATTTCCTGCACAGGCCAGGCATCTGAGGTTGGCATTGTCATCCTTCTTTTATAGATGAGGAAGGCAAGTTTCATAGTTAAGTCACTTGTTCCACAATCACACAGTTGGTAAGTGGCCTAAATGGGATTTGACCTGAGGTCTCAAACTCTTCACCATACATTACACAATCTTGGACTGCAGTGGAGGTGGCTGGGGACAGGTCAGAAATGAATCAGAAACAAGACTAGTTACAAGAACTCAGACTCCAGATGGGGCCAGACCACCTACAAATGTGACCTGATACTGAACTCTGAGGGGCTGAACTCTGTGTATCTCCCTTAACAGACTCTAAGGGAGGTTCTGAGACTCAGGCAAGGCTGAGCCCATAGGAATGGGGCAAAACGTGTTAGTTTTGGACAGATGAGACCTGTAGAAGCAGTCAAGTGATGCCACAAGATCCTTAACCAGCTGAAATGCAGACATCCTGATCCAGGGAATCATCCCGGAGGTTGGGCAAGATGCTGTCAGGGTCCAGAGATAAACAAGACCCTCCTCCCAGGAGCTCTGGACGGCCTTCCAACCCACCACCCACTTTGCAGTCCTCACAGAAATGTCCACTTCGATGTTATCATGAGAGGAACTGTTTCCAGACGAAGTCAGAGCAGAACCGGCCCACTAGGGGCCACAACCCACAGGCTATAAACTGAGGGATCTGGAGAAGGTTCTTAATTAAAGAGTGTCCCTGGGGGAACCCCTGCACTGGGTCTGAAATTCCAATCATGGACTCTGTCCCCTTGGATGTCTTCAGGAACAAGTCGTTATGAAATGGTTCCAGGAATGATATTGGTTTGGAGCCTCCTAGCATCAATAGCACTTTTTAATAGCACATTTTGTGCAAACTACCTCTTCACTTTTGGATCTGGTGTGGTGGGATGTTAATTAGGTACTCATGGGGCAGGCAGATTATGTAATCTGGGTCGTTTGGATGCTTACAACAGGATGACAAGGAGACAGAGCATGGTCTCTGAGTTACTTCTTCCTTATCTCCCAAAGTTTTCTTGGTGTCTTCCTTACATCTAGAGGGATCAGGAGAAGTATAAAAGAGGTTATGGAAAGGAAAGCTTTGCGGGCCACTGTCTGACTTGGCATTTCAGTGCCTGCTTTGAGCTTTGCATGATCATCTATGTATCCTTTTTCCTCAAAGCAAGAAGCAGCAGCATCCATGAATACCACTGCGTGGGTTTACCCACAGCAGAGGGCAGGAGCTTGCGTGTTACACTCTGCCTCTTACGTACTCTCCCTGTTTCTTTCTCCCACCACAACCCCACTGCCAAAACTGTGTTTAAGCATTGCAATAAAAACACTACATTATTATGTAAACAAGCCACCACTCTAGCTTTGAAGAATGCTATCAATTTCATGAAGTCCTTGGGTAAATTCAAGAATCAAAGAGTTCAGCTTCATTTTTCAATGGCTAAGATGTTTCTCTGGAGGCAGTTCCCATCCTTCATGATGCCCTAACTATTCTTTTTTTTTTTTTTTTTTTTCTTAAGACAGAGTCTCACTCTGTCACCCAGGCTGGAGTGCAGTGGTGTGATCTCGGCTCACTGCAACCTCCGCCGCCCAGGTTCAAGCGATTCTCCTGCCTCAGCCTCCCTAGTAGCTGGTATTACAGACGTGCACCACCATGCCCGGCTAATTTTTGTATCTTTAATAGAGATGGGGTTTCACCATGTTGGCCAAGCTAGTCTCGAACTCTTGGCCTCATGTGATCTGCCCACCTCCCAAAGTGCTGAGATTACAGGCGTGAGCCACCGTGCCCAGCCAACCTGATCATTCTTCACTCTCTTGTTGGGCTGTAATTGGGTAGATCTTCTGGATGCCTCTTTAGTTCCTCTTTTACCTCTAGGCTGGAAACTGGTCCATGTTCCAGTAGACTGAGGCCTAATAGTACCTGAGGTTTCTACTTTAGTCTGTAGGGCCTGTAATACCACATTGCCCCTTGGGTTATATTTCTGCAAAAGTTTTGTCTTTTCCAAAATTAACTGTGTATTCTGCCTCCATTGTACTTTGAGGAGTGAGACCAAATCCAGTAAGTTTTCTAATATTTATTTTCATAACTGGCAGGATAAAATGCCTTCTAAAAGACAAAAAGATTAAGGTGAGACTAGCTCATCCATTAGTAATTTACAGTTTCAGACAGTAACATGTTTATATGGCAATATAAAATTATTTGGTGCTCTTTCTGAGTTGATTGAGTGAATATAAATGGAAGGAAAGTCAGCTGGAGGAGAGGGAGAAAGAGAGGGAGAGGAGGGCCGGGCACAGTGGCTCACACCTGTAATCCCAGCACTCTGAGAGGCCGAAGCCAGAGGATTGCTTGAGGCTAGGAGTTTGAGATCAGACTGAGCAACAGAGTGAGACTACATCTCTACAAAAAATTTTAAAAATTAGCTGGGCATGGGGGCACACACTTGTAGTCCCAGCTACTCAAGAGGCTGAGGTGGGAGGATCACTTGAGCCCAGGAGGTCAGTGTTATAGTGAGCCATGATCACACCACTGCATTCTGGCCTGGGCAGTGGAGTAAGACCCTGTCTCTAAAAAAATTTAATTAAACTAGAAAGAAAAAAAGAGGGAGAGCAACTCTTTAATATAACTTAGGAGAAGTGGTTCACTATAGAACTATATCTTTGTTACCCATAACAAAAATATGGGCAATTACGTCTTGGGAGGTTTTAGACTATGCATATTTACATAAAAATAATGGCTCCTCAAGGGCCATTATGAATTACTGAAAAATAAAATATTCATTGCTGTAAAACTGAAATTAACCTACATAAAGTTTTCCTGGAGTCTACATCTATAGAATACATTTTTGTTGAGGAGAGGTCTGCCTGGGAGTTGGTACGCTCTAATATTCACTATAAGTAATTAAAAATTGAGCATCTGCAGAAGAATGCCTCCTCTCAGAGCAAAGTCAGCCAAATCTCTCAGAATAGCAGAAGCAGAACCAACTTAACATTTCATGACTCCTGAGGATGAGCACAGAGAGAAGGGCCAGGGAGATGCAGCAGGAAGAGAAGGGGAGGGAGAGCTCAAAACACAGCACAGGACTGCTTCTAGGTTCTCAATATCAGCATTTCTGGCCTGACAGTGGTGTGATTTCAGGGTCTTGGCCACCACGTCTGGCTTGGTGCTGGAAATTCTACATATTTATGTACATATTTTGTAATAAGACCAAACTTCAAAAGTCCCTAGAAGGAGTGCCATATGAAGAAGGCTTTTTCAGGGGAAGAGGAGAAAAAAGTTGTGAGTATCAAGGCACCAGAGGTGGAAAGAAGTTGCTACTAAGAGGTGGAAAGAATCCCAACAGAAAAGGATGCAGCCCTGACATCTCAGCGACCCACTGCTTCTCACAAGTGCTGGAGGAGGGAAGGGCCACACTGCCTGTACTCCCACCAGGTACCCCATCAGATTTCTCCACGGTTACCCCCAGGTTCCCTTCTGCTTTCAGGATCAGAGAAACCCCAAACCTCCTCCAATCTTTTTCATTAGTCCTATCCAAGTGGTATGGATGAGGGAAATGGGCAAGGAACCAGCAGCATCTGCTGCAGGGTGTGCCTGTGTGTGTGTGCACGCGCACAGGTGTGTGTGTGCATATGCGTGAGAACATGTGTGTGAAATATCTCCGTAGTCTCTTCTGGAGCCTGAAATCAAAGGAGACTGGAGCATGCTCTTATCCTGCCACACTGACATAGTCTTTCTGCTATCAATTTAATGAACAGGTATTAAATAAAGGATTAAGAAAATGAGTAAAATGAAGAGAGTGTTCTCTCAGTGGGTTTCAGGCTCTTTCTCTCTGCCTTATCTGTGCATTACCACTGAGTAACTAAGAATAACCTTTGGCCCTAGGTCCAAGGCTTGAGCATATGTGTGAAGTAAGTGAAGCATGGTTTGGTCTTTTTCTAGCAGCCGTCTACCCAAAGCATCCCAGAATCGAGACACCCATTCTCCCTCCAACTCTGGGGTGGGGGTTGCACTAGGTGGAAATGTTATGTCACAAAAGCATCAACACTCAAACAATCCAAATTCAAATCCCAGTCCCCGGTACGACCATTTCAGAAACCTGGTAGTATGTGCTGGGAATGGTGGCTCACACGTGTAATCTCAGCACTTTGGGAGGTGAAGATGAGAGGACTGCTTGAGGCCAGGAGACTAGCCTGAGCAACAAAGTGAGACTCCCATCTCTACAGAAAAAAAAAATTAGCTGGGCATGGTGGCATGTGCCTGTGGTGCCAGCTACACGGGAAGCTGAGGTGGGAGGAGTGCTTGATTCCAGGAGGTCGAGGCTGCAGTGAGCTGTATTCATGCCACAGCACTTCAGCCTGGGCAACAGAGTGAGATTCTGTCACAAAAGAACAAACAAAGAAACAAACAAAAACACAGTATCTACTAGAGCTGACCCAACAATTTCACATACACATCTAACACATATCTAACGAGTGTATTAGAAACAAGAGCTTATGTCTGCCAAGACACAAGTACACAAGTGTTCATAGCATATTTATTCATATTTCCAAACTGAAAACAATTTAAATATCCGCCAATGATAGAATATAAATATACTGTTTCACCATTCATACTATGGAATACTACATAGCAATGTAAAGGAATGAATTATTGCTATACACAACAGATGTAATATTGAGTGAAAGTAGTCAGATATGAAGGAGCACATACTATTAATACATGATTCCACATATACAAAGTTTTAAAACAGGCCAAAATAATCTATGGTGGTAGATTTCAGAGGAGTGGTTATCTCTGGAGGGAGTGTTGACTGAAGGCACAAGGGAGCTTCCTGGAGTGCTGGGAATGTTCTGGATCAGGGTGTTGACGACATGGCTGTATACATGGGCAAAACTCGAATGATCTATATACTTCAGGTGTGTGCACTTCATCACTTGACTATATGTTAACACATTCAATTTTTGAAAAAATAATTGTCTTAAAATTAATTTTAAGAAGTGAACCAAAAACAAATCTCAGCCTGCTTCTTTCCACCAAATGTTTTGATCATAAACAAAATACTTCACGTTTTTAATTTTAACCTCATATCCTTCACTTGTAAAGAGGGTGTTAAGAGTCTTCAGCAGTCAGTTTCATAACATTTTTTTGTAAAAATCCAATGTGCAGCATCTGTGAAAGTGCTTTGGAAACTTTAAATTGTTCTACGAACTGAGTGTGACTTTCGGGGCGGGACATAAAAAAGACCTGCAAGCACCCTTCATTCTAGATCCTTTCCAAGTGATATGTGGCAAACTACAGATTTGTCAAGAGATTTGGCTCTTATCAATTCATCAGACCCAAAGCATAGTTATCCTATTTCTCAATATTAGTTGCTTGATTTTTCTCCAATTATAAGAAGTGAGACTGTTCATCTGACCATCGCATTATATGTAAACTCCAGATTTTTAGACGAACATCCCCTGCTTTGTCACACCTGAATGGTTGTGGCTCTACCTCTCGCCTTCCCTTGAGAAATGTTAATTTTTACTAATAGGTATCTGCATGCAAGTCGTATGGAGTTATCTTACCCATAATTTGGTAGATTTTAAAAAATGATTTCCATCCTCTCTTTGGATGAAAGTTTGGTTTCTGATTTCTTAATTATGTTCAAGTGCATCAGGAATCTGACCTAAGAAACCAGGTACTAAATGTGTTCTAGGACCAAACTACCCAACGAAAACTACTTGTTGACATAGTGCCCTTTATTAGGAAAACACTTAAATTCACAAGAGATCAATATTTATCCTGTTGGCCAGAAACCCATGGACTTCTGTAAACGTCCATTTTCAGGTCAGCAGTTTCCAGAGTGGTGCCAGTTTCACTGGATGTGGTGCTCTCTTGCCCTCCATTTCTGGAACAGGAGTCTAACCTACACCTCCCTCAGCTTTACTCGCTGACTGGCTGGTGAACTCTGCTAGAGTAGGCAGAGCACCATTAATGTTGTGATTGATCATGTAGCTTGTTATGACCAAAGAAATATGTATTTACCACTGTGCTTGACACCTAATCAGCATTCACACATGCAAATGAAATGAATTTGTGAATTTTAAGAGAAAATCTAAATTCAATACCTCTACTCCTGGGTGGTTTTGATCTACATGGCATTTATTTGTTGGTTTGCTTTTCAGTTCCCTCCCCTGCTCTTTTCTGTGTCACTGAGGGGACTGGCTCTTGCAAACTATATTTCCCAGGCTTCTCTGTCAATTGTTCCCAGGTAGGTTCAGCCACTAAAAGGCACTAGCACTAAAGAGAAGAAGCCAAGGTATTTCTGCCCCTTTCTCTTCTTGGGAGGAAGGGGATGCATCTCTAGCAGTGGCTGCGTCTCTTCTGTACTTCCAGCTCCCATCATACAGCCCCTCCTCCCCATGGCCCCAAATCCCACCTACCTAGCTGGCAGAGGTTCCCACTCCTACCAAGTGGCTAATGTTTCTGGGCTCCGGGTAGGCTCATCCTTTCTTTATCCTTCCATCCCTATGGGCGTAGCAGCGCCTGCAGTTGCTAATCTTTGGGTTTTCTCACTTTCTTCTTTTCTTCCCTTTTTCAACTTTTCTGTGTATTGTTTCCTGTATCAAATTCCCTCTGTTGGCTTCATTTTCCCAGCTGGATTCCTCTGATGGAAAATCTATCTCAGGAGCCATGTACAAAACCATGATTTATTCTAAAGCCTAGTTCCGAAAGGAGGTATGTTTGTTTTCCCCCTTAATTATTTGAGAGCATTTCTGAAAGATACTCTTTCCTATGTCTTATTTTCCTGGTATTTTGTAGTATTTGAAATAAGATTATATTCAGAACATTAACAGCAATCAAAAAGCTAAGTCTGGGCCAGGCACAGTGGCTCACAGCTGTAATCCCAACACAATGGGAAGCGAGGCAGGAGGATCATTTAATCCATGTCAAAAAAAAAAAAAAAAAAAACCAAAACCTAAGTATGCCCAATATTGGAAAGACGCCAACTGTTCCTAAATTGATCTATCGATGTGATGTAATTCCTGTCAAAATCCTAACTGGTTTTTTTTTTTTCATGAAAATAGACAGTTGATTACAAGATTTGTATGAAAATGCAAAGGGCCAAAAATGGCCCATACCATCCTAAGGAAAAACAAGGTGGGAAGACCTTTTTCAGCAGACATCAAGACTTAATGGCCAGACACAGTGGCTCACACCTGTAATTCCAGCACTTTAGGAGGCCGAGGCAGGCTGATTGTTTGAGCACAGGAGTTCAAGACCAGCCTGGGCAACATGATGAAACCCTGTCTTTGCAAAAAATACAAAAAATTAGCCAGGCACAGTGACACATGCTGGTAGTTCCAGCTATGCTGGAGGCTGAGGTGAGAGGATCACTTGAGCCTGGGAGGCAGAGGTTGCAGTGAGCTAAGATTGGGCCACTGCACTCCAGCCTGGGTAACAGATTGAGATCCTGTCTCAGAAAACAAAAAACAAAAAAACAAAAAAAAAAACAAAAAAAGAAGACTTATTAAAAATTAAGAAGATATGGTGATAGAGAAAGTGTGGTGCTGCTTCCAGGAACAAATAGTTCAGTGATATGGAATGGACCAATGTTCTGGAAGAGTCTGGCAACTTACCTATGGACTGTAGATATTTTTTTCAAAGTGACATTGCAGAGCAGTTGGGAAAGGATGGTCACTTCAATAAAAATTTCCAGCACAACTGGGTGATAATATGCTAAAAAATGTGGCTGGGGACAGTTGTTCATGCCTGTAATCCCAGCACTTTGGGAGGCCGAGGTGGGCGGACCACGAGGTCAGGAGATCGAGACCATCCTGGCTAACATGGTGAAACCCCGTCTCTACTAAAAATACAAAAATTAGCTAGGCGTGGTGGCGGGCACCTGTAGTCCCAGCTACTCAGGAGGCTGAGGCAGGAGAACAGCATGAACCCAGGAGGCAGTGCTTGCAGTGAGCCCAGATGGCACCACCGCACTCCAGCCTGGGCAACCGAGCGAGACTCTGTCTCAAAAAAAAAAAGCTTCTCCTTATGGCTGTTTTTTCCATAGAGATCTAAATGTGAAAGGCAAAAATCATAAAACATTTGTACAATGATGAAAAATTTAAAAAGAAAGCTAAGTCTGAATGTGGGAACTGGCTGTAGGCCAGGGTTGCCTTTTTTTTCTTCATTCCAATTGACAAAAATAAAGAGATCTTTCCTGCTTCAGGACTTGATGAGTAATGAACTCAGACCAAGCCCCCAGCCTGAGAAGCCACAAGATGATGTTAACATTGTTTAACTCCATGCTTTTCAAGGGAGCAAGAAGAGAAGGAAATCACTGGAAAGTCGAGATGCAGATGCTCCTGGAAGGTGGTAACTTTAAAGAATTGTTGGCAATCAGCGCATCTTAAAGAGTATTAGAACCCTTATATAATTTCAGCTCTAGAGGAAAAATTGCTTGCAGATCTGCAGTCAAAGAACAGCCCTCACTCAACAGCTTCTTTTTCTGTACCTTCTGCTCTACAGAGGTTTTAAACAGACTCTTTTGTGCCCCAAATATTCTTTTTTCAATTTTAAAAGTATTTCAGATTTCAGAAAAATGCAAAAATAGTAAAAAAAATTCCCTTATACCTTTCTCCTCAATTCCCTGAATGTTAACATTTTGCCATACTTACCTTAGCATTCTCTTTTTCTCTATCTTTATATTTTTTTCTAAAAATGTGAAAGGAAGTTGTACATATGATACCCTTTTACACCTAGTCACTTCAAGATGTGTTTCCTAAAAACAGGGACATTTTCTTACATAATCACAGTACAATTTTCTTTCTCTCTCTCTTTCTTTGTTTTTCTTTTCTTTTTTTTCTTTCTTTCTTTCTTTCTTTTTTTTTTTTTTTTTTTTGTATTTTTGGTAGAGACATGGTTTCACCATGTTTCCCAGGCTGGTCTTGAACTCCTGAGCTCAGGCGATCCACTCGCCTCAGTCTTCCAAAGTGTTGGGATTACAGGCGTGAGCTTCCACACCCGGCACACAGTACAACTTTCAAAATCAGGAAATCAACACTAATACAATACAATACAATACAATACAATACAATACAATACAATACAATACAATACAATACAATACAATACAGTAACCTATAGATCTTATTCAACATTTATCCATTGTTCCACTAATATCCTTTTTAAGTCCATTCTTTTAACTGTTCTGTGGCTGTGGTCTTGGTGAAATACTTTCCAGCTTTTTCAGGAAGATGTAGCCATTCATTCAGCACATACAAAAAGAATTTGAACCTCATTAATTTTCAAGAAAAGTAAACTGAAACCTCGCTTGAGCTGTGCATGCAGACATCTTCATTCCCTGAATGAAGAGAACCCAGTGAAGTCTCACTCCGTTCCACAAAGCCTGTGTTATTCCTATTCTGTGCAGGTCACCTGCCTGCTGCTGCTTCCCGATTCCTCATTAGGCTGAGGGAACCCACATCAAAAATATCCTGGAAGATGCTTTCGTCTTTTTCTCACACATCATAACAAAAATACTTTACTGTCTCAATTTGAAAGCAAGAGAGGATGCACAGGGTTTGTAGCATCGACTATTTCTTACTAGCAGGTTATTACACGACCCACCCCTGAGACTAAGGCTGTGTTGTAAAGGAGTAAAGACCAAAGGGTAACAACCTGAATGAATGCTCATTAGAAAAGGAACTGGTTAAATACATTCTATTGTATCCATTCAATGTAATACATCATTCAAAAGAAGATGCAGCTGTATATGTTCCAAAATAAGTCAAACCTAAATTATAGGAGTAGTAAAGTTGTGTTGACTGAAAGAGGAATTGAGGAACTTGAGATTTGGAAATAAAGGGAGAAGGGAGACTTTTATAGTAAATCCTTTTGTACCGTCTGATTTTTTTTTTAAACCATGTGTATATGTTATGTATTCAGAGAGGGAGGAGGAAGAGAGACAGAGAATCATGAATAGGAGATATAATCATGGATAGGTAGATGGATATGCAGACAAAAAGAAAAGTTTGAGAGAACAGCAGGTCCCATATTCTCCGGCTGCACTTTTAACTTTTAAAGCTATCACTGTCTTTTCCATTTTCCCTGACCAACCATTTAGTTCTCTCTCGGTAGCAGGAGTGTTTTCCTCAGCTAGGTCGAGGAGACACAAACAGACCTCGTCACGCACACATCTCAGCACACAGGCATATAGTCTCAAACACACGGTTTTAGATTTGATGGTGTGTGGGGGGAGATGGGGAGCAGGCTGAGGCACTCGAAGCGGGACCTCCCGCCTCCCCTACCATCTCAGATCTGCACTACTCCCCTCGGCCGTCCATTCTTTGGCCCGCCTTTCCCCCACCCCCGCTCCAGACCCTGCACACCAGGCGACTGGACTGGCGTAAATTTCCGCCCATTTGCGTCGCCGCCTGGGGGTGCTGCTTCGTGACGTCAGGGCTGAGCTAGGGGGCGCCCGCTCCTGGCTGCCCGCTCCTCCCGGCCCTGCGGCCCCCGCCTGCCCTTTAAAAGAGCGGGGCCTGCGCCGGCCGCGCCACACCGCGGGGACCAGGAGGCACGCTGGTTTTCCGGGGCCGCTCCATCGCGCCTTCCTCCTGCGCCTCGCTTCTCCGGTCCAGCCGCCATCTTCCTTTCCGCACAGGGGCCGCCGAGCGGGGCCATGCAGCCAACGCTGCTTCTCAGCCTCCTGGGAGCCGTGGGGCTGGCGGGTGAGTGGGCGCGGCGGGCCGGTCAGCACCGCGGACAGCGCCAGCCTCGCTCTTCCCCGCCGCTCCCGCAGCCAGGCTGGCGGATCCCGGGAGAGAGGGAGGGTTGAGGGGAAGGTTTACCTCTTGCTTCGTTTCTTCTCCTCCCTGGGTGTTTTCCTTCAGCTCCTCCCACCCGTTTGACTTGGAAAAAGCTAGAGGGCTTCCTAGCCCAACCAGGGGAGCCTCAGTCTTTCTGTATCTGAGTTTTCCTCTAGATAGGAAGGAAGAAAACGTGCCATACCTGCAAGGAAACCTCACATTTTGTATTCGCTTCTAAGATGTCACACTCTCTCTGCCCGTCTAGAGAGATTCTGTTGTCTGATTCTGTATCTGTTTGGCTTTTTAAAGCCAGGCGACTACAGAGAGGCAGGAATACATGTATGATGCTATTTAGTGCCTGCATAATTTCCCTTATTATTGTTATTGTCATGTAAGTATGATGAGATAAAAGTGAGTCCCATATATATATAAGATATATCCCTTTTCTTAACATGTCCATATATAATGTGTGTGTATGTGTGCTCATGTATGTACAAGTTTAATATAATATGTTCCTCTATTTTGTATTTCCATCTCTAGGGACAGGTAATTTCTAATTTCACACTCAAAGGAATTATTTTTTTTTAACCTGTGAAAGCCTCAGCAGTCCTGAGAACATGTGCTCCTCATTTTTTAGTTATGAATGGAAACCGCAGTATTTTGACTTCTGTACTCCAGGAAAATTATTAGAGTACAAAATAACCACAAAAGTTCCTTTGGAGTAGTAAAAAAAAAAATGTTTTAGCCAATTTAGGAGGATTGAATTTTAAGTAGTAGATATTTGACTGTTTCCCTTTTGTAGGGAAGATTGTAGGATTAATCTTTCAAACTACCCTGAATCTCAAACAAATGATCTCTGAAGATCTGAAGTGTGTGTGTGTGCATGTGTGTGTGTGTGTTGAAGTCGAGTCACCTACCGGTATTGAGATATTGAGACTATTGAGAAGTAAGTATACTAGCACCAAATTAAACTACAGGTTTTCTTCAGCTGTTTTAATGATTTAGAAAATTGTCCATATCTGAGATTGAGACTCCTACCTAGAATTGAGATACTGCCATCCATGAATATGAAGCTTTTATTGGCAGCAATTACTAGATCCAAAAGGTAGAAACAAAATGAAAGCCAGTCGTAATTAATTTTATTGTAAGCTATATACATTCAGAATTTGCTAAAATTCTTGTCATTCTCACAAATTGTCAATAAATGTTCTCAATTTCATTAAAGAAAATCAAATGAATATTTATAATTATTTCTGGTCAAAATACTTTCAGAAAAGAATTGCTTTGCTTAGGAGGCTGTAGACCACAAAAACAGTGACATTTGTGGGAATGATTTAACTATTGTGGTACAATACTTACAGATCTCTTATGTAACAGAATATTTTAAATAAAAGTTTATATTTTAATAGCAGCTAAAATGAAGACATAATCTTTTTAAAAATTGAGCTTAATTTGTATATCATATAATCCACGCTTTTAAATTATATAGTTCAGTGGTTTTTGGTATATTCGCAGATTGTGCAACTATTACCACTATCAAATTTCAGAACATTTTCATCACCCCAGAAAGATACCACAAACCCATTAGCAAGCACCTCTCCATTCCCACCTCCCCACAGCCTCTGGCAATGAGACATGTTAGACTTCAAGTAGAGCTGGTAATTTGCAAAATTACAGGGCTGGGGGAAGCCTCAAGAAACCATCTAGCTCATTCACTTATCCTTAAGAACTTCTGAAAGATATGCACAACCTTCTATGGAAGCTATTGTGCACTCTAAAAATTAATATAAGGGAAGTAGTAAAATGATATCCATATTATTCTAGGTAAAATGGTTTCTTTATCTTTCTTTTTCTTTTCTTTTCTTTTCTTTTTTTTTTTTTTTTTTTGAGACAGAGTCTTGCTCTGTTGGCCAGGCTGGAGTGCGGTGGTGCAATCTCAGCTCACTGCAACCTCCATCTCCCGGGCTCAAGCAATTGTCTTGCTTCAGCCTCCCGAGTAGCTGGGATTACAGGTGTGTGTCACCACGCCCAGCTAATTTTTTTGTATATTTAGTAGAGATGAGGTTTCACTATGTTGGCCAGGCTGGTCTCGAACTCCTGACCTCAGGTAATCCGCCAGCCTCGGACTCCCAAAGTGTTGAGATTACAGGCATGAGCCACTGCACCCGGCCGGGAAAATGGTTTCTAAATTCAGAAGAGCTTATTTAACTTATTTTACAGTTATATTTTCAATCCAGTATCAAACCTTAACAGTATTAGATATTAATACATCAGAAGTTGCTCTCAGATTTACCAGATTATTTGATAATTTTTCTACCATTTGATTGCTTTACTTTTAACACGAGCAGTAGGTTTTCTTTTTTTTTCGTATATACCTACAGAGAGCATTAGATTTTCTGTTGTGCCACCTGAATCTTACTGTATGCAAAAGTAAGTTGAACTACTTTAAGGATGACAACATGCCTTTGGCTATTACCTTGTTGTCACAAATTTTACCGGAAAAATACAGAAGCACCTAGATGTCTCACCAAGATGTATAATGTATGTTCAAAAGCAGACCCTAGTTTTTTTTTCCATCAAAAAGAGATCTGAAGAGCCTCAGTCAGAGAAACAACGGTTTCATAAATACAAACCTAAGCTACAAGTTGTCTAGAGTAATAAAAGAAAAATCTTTCTCTGCCCCCAAATCTGGTAACTATTAATACTTCAGCAATACCAGTAGTTAATAAAAACATCTATTTTACATTTGTAAAAAAAAAGGGAAAGTATTAGCAAGAAACTGCATTATCAAGAAGGCTTAGTAAAGCTGCATTTTTTAAAAGTCATCTGATTTATTAGGGGAGTTATTCTCTCGCAGTCATTTATTTGCAGAAGATATTACAGATTTCCAGCGGAAAGAGAAAGTGCTGAAATGGGTGTGTTCTCAAGTAGCCATTTGGAGGATGAAAGAACAGTTGAGTATATTGGACCTTGGGTACCAAAAGTGGGCCAACTGGATCTTGCCTGATAAGCATTTCAGGAGGAACTTGGGGTCTTCATAGCATAACTTTGGGCTTCTTGAAACAGTTGAAGTGATCCCAGATCATGCTTTGAAAAGAAAAATTTGGTAAAGTAAGTAAATGAATAGGTGTTTTATTTCCAGGTTGAGCCCCATGATATGTAATTGATAGGGGGTGGGGAATGTTTAAAGAGGCTTAGAGCAAAGCATTTTGCAAGGAAAGGTCAGGTTGCTGCATTTGAATAGCTTTCATGTCTGATGTCTGAGAACTTGCCCCAGCTAGCTCTACTCTCTTCTCAGGGACTTAGAAGAATTTTCTGCACTAGCGTCTCCTGCTCAGTTGCCTGCTACAGGAATGCCAGGAGAACTGTAGAGATGGACTTACATGTAAATGCTTTGGGCTGTTCTAATAGAAAGGGCTTAGAACAAAGTCAAAGTGAAAAAAGAATCAAAGCAGCTTTGAGACAGAAAAAAAATGGCACTGAAAAATTAAAATTACCTGAAGCATTTTTGAAGAAGACAAAGCAACTTCAAACACTGTTTTAAGATAGGCGGAATCCCATGAAATTTTATTGAAATAAATTAAAATTTTTCTTTTAAAATATTCTTATAAACCAATGGTTAAACACCAATTTGCATAAAATATTATGGACTTGATGCTGTACTAGGAGGGTTAGATATCTGCCATGTTCTTTACATGGTTGCAAACAGTGTGGAGAAAGAGAAACACAATGTTGATACGGATGCATAAACGAGCTTGTTCAGGCAAAGGCCTTGCGGGTGAAAAATGAGGTAATTAATTATGGAAGACATCCATAACCATGTTTTTGTCAAGGAAGTAAGTTTTGGGAGGATATATTTTTGGAAACAGAGATACGGAGAGAGAGCCACAGATCTTTACCTATTTGGGGTAGGCAGAGAAGGACCAAGGAGGGCATTCTTGTTTTATTAGACTTAGTTTGGTTTAAACTTTTTTTTTTTTGAGACGGAGTCTGGCCCTGTCACCCAGGCTGGAGTACAGTGGCACGATCATGGCTCACTGCAACCTCCGCCTCCTGGGTTCAAGCAATTCTCCTGCCTCAGCCTCCCAGGTAGCTGGCGCGTGCCACCACGCCTGGCTAATTTTTTGTAGTTTTAGTAGAGACAGGGTTTTGTCATGTTAGCCAGGTTGGTCTCGATCTCCTGACCTTGTGATCCACCAGCCTTGGCCTCCCAAAGTGCTGGGATTACAAGCATGAGCCACCGCACCCAGCCCTAGCTTAAACTTTTAATTGAAATAAAATATATAGAAAATGGAACAGATCATGAGTATACAGCTTAATACGCACACCTGTGTAACCAGCACTGAGATTAAAAAATGGGACATTTCTGGTTCCCCAGAAGTCCCCTCCTTGTCTGTGGTCTAGATTTGATTTATACCGGATCTAAAATAGCATTTGTTTCCAAATATATTTAAGACATTGCCAGGGGAAAAACAACAACTAATGTGGGGTGATTTTGTCAGTTGGGGTCACACAGCTTTCAAAAACCAACTCAAGTCATTTTCCATTCTTTTTCTCCTTCAAAGCTGTCAATTCCATGCCAGTGGATAACAGGAACCACAATGAAGGAATGGTAAGTTGCAATGTCAATCTTAGAATCTAGACTTGTGTCTAGACTCTAGATTCTCCCAGTCCCTATTATACCAAACCAAACACACGCATGACATAATCTTACAAAGCCAGGTTTTCATTGCTGACAGAATGTGAGCAAGGGATGCCCCTCCTGCACTGAGCTCCTATGTCCTGTCAGGATGGTTTAGCACCCCTGAGGATAGCTGTGCCATTGGTTCAGAAATGGGTGTTTATTTCCCTTCTCCAGATAATCCCAACTCAGTGCCTTCTTGCATTATTCTGTGTAGAAGTTTGGAAGATTTCATTCTGTTCCTGTAAATCTGTATCTCCGCCCTAAGAATACTGCATCAGCCCAGGTCACGTAATCAAGTCTTCCTTGACAGCAGCTCTGGGTTGAGTAGTCTGTCATCCAGTGATACCAGCTTCTCCAACCTGCTTTCGGGTTTCCCCCCAGGTGACTCGCTGCATCATTGAGGTCCTCTCAAATGCCTTGTCGAAGTCCAGCGCTCCACCCATCACCCCTGAGTGCCGCCAAGTCCTGAAGACGAGTAAGTGTCCCACACGGCAGGCAGATCTTGGTCACTGCAGTGATCCTTGTTCCTACTCCCTCCACATCACCTTCTACTTTATCTACAAATGACCTGGGGGCATAATGCACTAGGAAGAGTATTGATTGACTAGGCCAGTATCTGGGAGACAGAAGATATGACTCCTAGTTCCTGCTTTACCACTTCGCAGCTGTGTGACTATAGGAAAGACAGTTTGCCTCTCTTTTCCTCAAAGTAAAATGAAGGAGTTGAACTCAGTGATAGTCTTTCAGATGTCTATCCGTTCTTAAATTCCTTAGTTCCATACTTTGGATTTTTAGAACCGGACTTCCTTTGGGTGGAGGGGGTTTGGGAAATGCTGGTTTGTGATTAGATGAGGAGGGGGGTTATGGAAGTGTTGGACAATGACAGAGGGAGATTTAAAAATCATTCTTCTCTTTGCCTTTTGCTCTTCTGACAGTGAGAATCAGGAAGCTGAGAAGCAAGAAACTTAGAAAGGTGACTTAAAATTCTGGCCTATTTACACAACAAATTAGCTAAGATATTTTAATGTATAGCTTACTAGAATAGAAGGTGCCACCAAATGGTACCAGGAGTTCCAGGCCTGAGAACTGGAAGGGTTTCAGGTAGAGGCAGTGCATTCCAGTGAGGCAGACTAATGGCTTTCTGAGTCCAGCCTGTGAAGTGTTCTCAATATGAAACCATTTCTGCTGAAAATAAAATTTGAACAGTAATATAAGCAGTACCCATTGGAAATTGACATTATGAGGTCAATTTTACAAAACTATGCAGTCTCTGTTATGCATGAAGCCACACTGATTCAAACAAATCCAGAAAACACTGCCCTCTTCAACACTGTCCTCTGCTTTTAAACTTTTAGTCAGGCTGGGAACAGTAGATTTTATCTTATTTTTTCACCTTTAAAAATCTTTCAGGTGGGCATAGTGGCTCACACCTGTAATCCCAGCACTTTGGGAGGCCGAGGCAGGTGGATCACCTGAGGTCAGCAGTTTGAGACCAGCCTGGCCAACATGGTGAAACCCTGTCTCTACTAAAAATACAAAAAAAAAAAAAAAAAATTAGCCAGGCATGGTGGCAGGCACCTGTAATCCCACTACTCAGGAGGCCGAGACAGGAGAATTGCTTGAACTTGGGAGGCAGAGACTGCAGTGAGCCAAGATTGAACTCCATTGAACTCCAGCCTGGGCAACAAGAGTAAGACTCCATCTAAAAAAAAAAAAAAAAAAAAAAACTCTCATTGCCACCAGCCTGGCCAATATGGTGAAACCCCATCTCTACTAAAAATACAACAACTAGTTGGGTGTGGTGGCGGGCGCCTGTAATCCCAGCTACTTGGGAGGCTGAGGCAGGAGAATCGCTAGAACCTGGGAAGCAGAGGTTGCAGTGAACTGAGATCGTGGCATTCCACTCCAGCCTGGATACAGCCTGGGTGGCAGAGTGAGGCTCCATCAAAAACAAAAACAAAAACAAAAAAAACACCAAATAAACACCTCTCGCTGCCAGACAAGACTCTCTTGCTATAGCTATACATGAGCCCTCATGCATGAAATGGTAAAAAGCAAATAGTGATTGGCCAAAAGAGTAACCTGAGGCCAGGCGCAGTGGCTCACACCTGTAATCCCAGCACTTTGGGAGGCTGAGGCGGGCGGATCACAAGGTCAGGAGATCAAGACCATCCTGTCTAACACAGTGAAACCCCATCTCTACTAAAAATACAAAAAATTAGCCGGGCGTGGTGACACACGCCTGTAGTCCCAGCTACTCAGGAGGCTGAGGCAGGAGAATCGCTTGAGCCCAGGAGGTGGAGGTTGCAGTAAGCCGAGATTGCCCCACGGCATTCCAGCCTCAGTGACAGAGCGAGTCTCTGTCTAAAAAAAAAAAAAAAAAAAAAAAAAAAAAAAAAAAGAGCAACCTGAATTAATTCAATCTTTGGGGGCTTCAGGTAACAATGGTAGCTGTGGGGGCCTGAGCCTTTAGGGACCCTAGAAACAGTGGATGGAAGCTTTCCTACCACTCCCAGCCCACATACCTCTTTCTGAGTTTCTTTCCAACTTCTTTTTTCCAGCAGTTACAGGAAGTGAGTAAGAGCAGAGTGGGTCACTAGGCAGAGAGTAAAGGCTGCTCCTTTTGGCAAACCCATCTTGGTATCTCCCTTTCCCTTTCTTTGTTTACTAGACCAATGCAAAAGTGAGGGGCCTGTCCCATCAGCTCACTAAAGAACCACAGTTGCTTAGGAAAAGTTGCCTATGCCTGCCTGCCAAGATCTTAGCCCTTAGATTATGGCATAGTAACTCTAGCCTCTGCTCCAGCCCTGATTATGCCCTGAGGTCTTTTGGTGTCTGTTGAGAGAGACGTAGGGAAACTGGGAAAAATCAAATGTATCTAAGGATCCTGGAGATGTTATACCCAGAGAGTGACAGAATGCTGAGATGGCGAAGGTTTAAGAGCTCTTCTGTGGTTGAGCCTTAAACACCAGGCAGAGCTAGACAGACAAATAACACAAAAGAGTAAGGCAGGACAGGAAGTGACTCACAGACTGGAGGGCACATGCCTTTTCTGAGAGGGAGCAGGTAATTCTCAGCTCTAAACCCGTTATGGAGAAATACAGACTATGTTGTCAAATCTTGGGATTTTTCAAAAGAAGTTAAAATTTTGATTTTTAAAAGACATCTCCTGGTATTTTCATATCGCCTCTGAATTCAGATGTACTAAAACTGCTGTTTAGGTCAAACAGAATTTACCTCTGATGCACCAGTTTGCAACTTTTATCCTATTCTAGTTCTCTCTCTCTTGTTGGCATGTCGTAAACTGATCAGAAGACTGGTGGAGCTTTTGCCCAACTGGTTGGATGAATGCCTTTATACAGCCTCTGTTCCACCCCACGCCCATCTCCACTCCCACTCCTACTTGCATGTCTCAGAGTCAGCATATACTCACTGAGCAAATGAGTATTTGGGGAGTAGGACAGAATCATTGTTTTATGGATTTGAGAGACCTCAGGGAAGACGTAGTCTAATTTCTTCACAGGTACAAGAATCTCTTTGACTAGGGTTGATCTGGTCATCCTTACAGCATGACAGATGCATTTCCCTGTTTTCGCTTGAAAGTAAGTGTGAGCTTCACAGCTTGATTTTACAGCTTGACAGTGAGTGTGTGCTGCTATCACAGCCTCTTCCAGGCCCACCTGCGGGGCTTAAAGCTAAATTTAGTAGGAAGAGCTAAGCCTCAGGCACATGCTGCTCAGGCAGTACATATTTAATTGGGAAAAAATAAAAATACTTCTGTTCCTGACACTTAAGACTCACAAACCAGTAGGCAGTAGGAAAGGGACCACAGTGACTCGGCCCCTGGAGGCTGAGATCTTGTCTGATCAGCTCTATTTCAACCAACTCTCAGAATGACATCAGTATCTGTCTGTCTTAGTCAGCTTGGGCTGCTATATCAAATACCATAGATTGGATGGCTTAAACAACTAACATTTATTTTTCACAGTTACAGCAGTCGGAAGTCCAAGATCAGAGTGTCTTATGAGGGCCCACTTCCTGGCTTGTAGATGGCTGCCTTCTGTCACTGTATCCTCATCTGGTGGAGACAGAAATCATCTCTTTCTCATATCTCCTTTCTTAGGGCACTAATCCCATTGTAAGTGCTCTACCTTGATGACCTAATTACCTCTCAGAGGCCCCCACCTCCACGTGCTATCACATTGAGGATTAGGGCTTCAACATTTTGGAATCACACAAACATTTAGTCAATAGCACTGCCCAGAGCCACCATGCTTCCCTGTGCCCATCTGGCTAGCCATGCCCCAATGCTATACACACCACCACTGGCTTTTAAGAGGCAAAGAGACTGGTGACAGATGGGCCTTCTCTCAGATGTCTGGAAAAGGCCAGGGACATTTTCATTGCCTCATAAACATGAGAATATTATTATCATGCCAGACTGGACTTTAAACAGAGAGGTACAGAGAGTCCACTATTTCTTGGACATTTTTACAAAATAAATAATTTTTTTCCATTTTGCAAATATCATTTCAAAATAACTTATCAGTGCCACCCAATAGAAATATAATGTGAGCCACAAATATAATTTCAAATTTTATAGTAACCACATTTAAAAAGTAAAAAGAGACAGGTGGAAATTAATTTCAATAATATATTTTATTTTTATCCAATTTTTTTCTGATATATAATTTTATAAATCTGATCTATTTGAAATATATATTATCCAATACATCCAAAATATTATTTCAACATATAATGATATAAAAATTGTTGAGATTATTTTACATTATTCTTTATTCTCAGAAGTCTGATGTGTATCTTACATATATAGCATGTCCCAGATCGGACCAGCCACATTTCAAGTGCTCAACAGCACTTGGGCTTATGGTGCCTGCAGTGTAGACCCAGAGCTGTCAGTGGCCTTGGCTTCAGGCATTTTATCTGAACTCTGTGACATAGGTTGAAATCCAAGCCCTCCCAGCTAACAACTGAGACAATGCTAACTGCCTATCTCCTTTCATGGGGTGCCCTTGAGTTAAGGAGGACTTAGTAAAGGAGCTATTGATATTTGGAAAAGATGGACGAGAACAGCATTCAATTAAAATATCAGTTATACCATGTACTCTGACTCTGGAAACACAAAGATAACTCACTGTGCTGAAGTCTGTCCCCAACATCTGAGAACATGTTGGGTGGATGGAACCTGAGTGAAGAAAGAAATGGCCCTTTCCACTGATGTGCAGTTTTCTCAGGCAAGAAATGTACACCCTTATCACCAGCTACTAAGTTATATATCACATACTGCTAGGTTGAGCCTACAGTTGATTGGATAATAAAAGTCTGATATAAACTAATAATTTCAAATGTTTAAATCCTCCTTTGAATCTTGATATTTCTTATTTTGGCTAGTTAACTATCTAGCTGGATTATTGTTAGAGCCATTCACATAGTGCTAACTTTTTAACTCCTACTTGAAGAAAATATGGAAAGAATGGTCTTGGATTATACCATGCTGAGTCTCAATGTCTGCAAAAAGAAGAGGTTGGACTGGATTAGATGAATTCTAAGATGTTTCCTGCCTCTAAATTCTAATATTTCATAAATCTATATCTCGATTTCAGTTTGATCATTGGTAGTACCAATGAGAGAAGCTGGCTGGGCATTATGAAGACATAAAAATATAGACAGTTTATTACCAGATTTAAACACAGTCAAGGAGCTTTCATAGCATTTACTTTCAAAAGGAATCTGAGTATATTCTTCATTAACTTAAATAATTATCCAAGCAATTTTCAGTGTCATCAGGATTTGTAGTGATTACTGAGGCTGGTGCTTGTGGAACCACAAGCAATTCTGAAATTATACCTACTCTTCATTTTCATTATAGGTAGAAAAGACGTCAAAGACAAAGAGACAACTGAAAATGAAAACACAAAGTTTGAAGTAAGATTGTTAAGAGACCCAGCTGATGCCTCGGAAGCCCACGAGTCCTCCAGCAGGGGAGAGGCAGGAGCCCCAGGGGAGGAGGACATCCAAGGCCCAACAAAGGCAGACACAGAGAAATGGGCAGAGGGAGGCGGGCACAGCCGAGAGCGAGCGGATGAGCCCCAGTGGAGCCTCTATCCCTCCGACAGCCAAGTCTCTGAAGAAGTGAAGACACGCCATTCTGAGAAGAGCCAGAGAGAGGATGAGGAGGAGGAGGAGGGAGAGAACTATCAAAAAGGGGAGCGAGGGGAAGATAGCAGTGAAGAGAAACACCTTGAAGAGCCAGGAGAGACACAAAACGCTTTTCTCAATGAAAGAAAGCAGGCTTCAGCTATAAAAAAAGAGGAGTTAGTGGCCAGATCGGAAACACATGCTGCCGGGCATTCTCAGGAGAAGACACATAGCCGAGAGAAGAGTAGCCAGGAGAGTGGAGAGGAGACAGGGAGCCAGGAGAATCACCCCCAGGAGTCTAAAGGCCAACCCCGAAGCCAGGAAGAATCTGAGGAAGGTGAGGAAGATGCCACCTCTGAGGTGGACAAACGACGCACGAGGCCCAGACACCACCACGGGAGGAGCAGGCCCGACAGGTCCTCTCAAGGAGGGAGTCTTCCCTCTGAGGAAAAGGGACACCCCCAGGAGGAATCTGAGGAGTCAAACGTCAGCATGGCCAGTTTAGGGGAAAAGAGGGACCACCATTCAACCCACTACAGGGCTTCAGAGGAAGAACCTGAATATGGAGAAGAAATAAAGGGTTATCCAGGCGTCCAGGCCCCTGAGGACCTGGAGTGGGAGCGCTATAGGGGCAGAGGAAGTGAAGAATACAGGGCTCCAAGACCTCAGAGTGAGGAGAGTTGGGATGAGGAGGACAAGAGAAACTACCCCAGCTTAGAGCTTGATAAGATGGCACATGGATATGGTGAAGAAAGTGAGGAAGAGAGGGGCCTTGAGCCGGGAAAGGGACGCCATCACAGAGGCAGGGGAGGGGAGCCACGTGCCTATTTCATGTCTGACACCAGAGAAGAGAAAAGGTTCTTGGGTGAAGGACACCACCGTGTCCAAGAAAACCAGATGGACAAGGCAAGGAGGCATCCACAAGGTGCGTGGAAAGAGCTGGACAGAAATTATCTCAACTACGGTGAGGAAGGAGCCCCAGGGAAGTGGCAGCAGCAGGGAGACCTGCAGGACACTAAAGAAAACAGGGAGGAAGCTAGGTTTCAAGATAAACAATATAGCTCCCATCACACAGCTGAAAAGAGGAAGAGATTAGGGGAACTGTTCAACCCATACTACGACCCTCTCCAGTGGAAGAGCAGCCATTTTGAAAGAAGAGACAACATGAATGACAATTTTCTCGAGGGTGAGGAGGAAAATGAGCTGACCTTGAACGAGAAGAATTTCTTCCCAGAATACAACTATGACTGGTGGGAGAAAAAGCCCTTCTCTGAGGATGTGAACTGGGGGTATGAGAAGAGAAACCTCGCCAGGGTCCCCAAGCTGGACCTGAAAAGGCAATATGACAGGGTGGCCCAACTGGACCAGCTCCTTCACTACAGGAAGAAGTCAGCTGAGTTTCCAGACTTCTATGATTCTGAGGAGCCGGTGAGCACCCACCAGGAGGCAGAAAATGAAAAGGACAGGGCTGACCAGACAGTCCTGACAGAGGACGAGGTATGGTCTAGGGCTTCTGTTTAAAAGTACTTACTCTGGTCAATGTTAGCACATTATGTTCAAGACTATCCGATATTCACGGGGAGAAATTGGTGGGAATTAATCACTATGAAAATGGTGCTCTAGTAATGGAGTGGAGGCCACCTTGGGGGTCGGTTTCCACCTACCTCTAGCCATCGTCCACATCCTTGTCCACCTCACTCGGTTGCATTGCTTCTCAACCTTGTCTGCACACTGGGGTCACCTGGAGAGCGTGAAAAATTACTGTGTTAGAGATTCTGTCTACTTAGTTCCTAGGGTGCTGCCTGATCATCAGAATATTTTAAAGCTTCCAGATGATTGCAGCGTTCAGCCAACGTTAACAACTGCTGTTCTGGTATCTTCCCCTTGGTCCTCTTATTGTTCATCACTCTCTCCCTGAGGCAGGGAGAATAGGTGATAGAGAAGTTTACTTGCTTGCCTATTTAGTTTGCTATCTTTATTATTTCATGCCCTACTGCCATCAGAAATTTGTATCTGGGAGAGGTAACACTACTGGAGCTGAACCTACCCAAACAATGTTTTTTTTCCTAATATTGATTATGTAGGTTGGTGCTTCTCAAAGTTGAATGTACATTAGGATCATGAGGGATTCCTAGCCCCCAGAGTTCCTCATTTAGTAGGTCCCAAGTGAGACCCCAATATCTGCATTTCTGACAAGTTCCTGGCTGATGCCACTGGTCAGGGGACCACACTTTGAGAGTTACTGAGGTAGGTTGACTAATGCAGCTTCTAACATGCCTAAAATTCCCCTTTGCACTCATGCTCCATCAAACTACAGCAAAAGAAATTGGTTCGGGACCTCATGCCTCCACTTTTCTGTATTTTCCAGAAAAAAGAACTCGAAAACTTGGCTGCAATGGATTTGGAACTACAGAAGATAGCTGAGAAATTCAGCCAAAGGGGCTGACTGTCATTGGAGCGGTGGGCACTGTTAAGAAGCAGCCATCACATGATCTGTTTTTCACCACTTCACTGAAAGACACCATTTATCTACCCAAGGGCAGAAAGTAGAACTTACTATTCATTAAATGTTTGACACAATTGGAATTGTCTTTAATTTCTGTCAGAATGCTATTGAAAATGTGAATTGCATGACTTGTAGCATATTCTTTTCTGCAAAATAGACATATTAACATGCTTATGACAATGACTGTGCTACTGTCTTTGGAAAAATGTTTGTCTCAGTTGGAAATAATAAAAGATTCACCTGAGACCAAAAGCTTCATTGTTCTCAGCTTCTTTTGGGCAAAGAGAGAGGTGTGTGACTTTTCAAATCTATTCTTTGAAGTAAATTGCAAAAGATGGCCCTAGGATTTGTTGGGTTTTGGATGCATAATAGAATAAAAAAGCAAACCTTTTGAAGTAATGTGCAGGATATAAAGAGAAATAGATTAGAAAAAGACATCTACTCCCCCATGCTGAGAGAGATTACAGGGGCTTGAAGAACCTGTTTCAAAAACAATCATAAGATATTACTTTAAAAATTCCTTTATCTAAAGAGCTCTACAAGTAGCCAGCCAAAGTTCATTTTTCAGGGCTGAGAAGAAAGCTTGGATAATGGGAAGAATTCCGGGGTGGGAGTGAAAACATCTGGATTGTCAAGACAGATCCCTGGCCCCTCAGATCTTGTCTGATTTCTACTCCTTAAGAAGATAGAGGCAGCTGGGTGCGGTGGCTTACAGTTGTAATCCTAGCACTTTGGGAGGCCCAGGCAGACAGATCACGAGGTCAGGAGTTTGAGACCAGCCTGGCCAACATGGTGAAACCCCATCTCTAATAAAGATACAAAAAAAAAAAGCTGGGCATGGTGGCGGGCACCTGTAATCCCAGCTACTTGGGTTGCAGTGAGCGCAGATCAGGCATTGCACTCCAGCCTGGGTGGCAGGGCGAGACTCTCTCAGAAAAAAAAAAAAAAAAAAAAAAAAAATATATATATATATATATATATATATATATATACATATATATATATATATATATAGAGAGAGAGAGAGAGAGAGAGAGAGAGAGAGGCTAGGCATGGTGGCTCACACTTGTAATCTCAGCACTTTGGGAGGCCAAGGCAGGTGGTTTGCTTGAGCTCAGGAGTTTGAGACCAGCCTGGGCAACATGGCGAAACCCCGTCTCTACAAAAAATTTAAAAATTAGCCAGGCATGGTGTTGTGCGCCTATAGTCCCTCCCTACTCAGGAGGCCAAGGCGGGAGGATCACTTGAGCCCTGGAAGTTGAGGCTGCATTGAGCCGAGATCGTGCCACTGCACTCCAGCCTAGGTGACAGAGTAAGGTCCTGTCTCAAAAAGAAAAAAAAAGGTAGAGCTTTTACTCTGCTGACTCTGTTACTAAGTAGCTCTGACTTTGGGCAAGTTACTTTTCCTCTCTGAACCTCAAGATCATCAATGAAATAAGATATTTGTCTCATTGAGTTGTTACAAGGATGATAGAGTTGATGCAAAACAGAGCAGTGCCTGGTGTATATCAACGGCATAGGAAGTGTTAGCTGCTGCCGTAATCATTCTTGCAGCTTCTTAGGACAATACAGTTGGACAATTCCCCTTCTCCCTTTTTTTACCTGTCATTTAATTCCTCACCCTTGGTGGCTTCTACTTGGTTGATTTCTACTGTTTTCACAGTTTTGGTAAAGAGTTATTCTCTGGAAGGTGGTGCAGAAGAGAGTAAGACCTTCTCTTTACTCTCTGAAGGTTGGATAATTAAGTCTATGGAATAAACTGACCGTAGGCAGATTAACAGGAGAAAAAAACATTTTAATTACATGCATAGGCCCAGGAGTCCCACACAATAGAAGACTCAGAAGGGCCAGATGATTGAAGTTTTTATAGCATCCTGAGCTACAGAAGAGAATAGGGGGCTTGGGGTTCCTGGGGGACACAGTTATGGGAAGGTAGCAGGAGGAATTGTATGATAAATAAAGGTTGTGTTGTTATGCAGATAAAATCTCTCAGGTAATCAAAGTGATCCAGCAGCCTTCTTTTTTTTTTTTTTTTAAAAGCTTAATGAAATTTTATTTTGAAAATATGGCAAAAGTCTAAGGCACTTCAAATATTTAAATACATGTAGGACCAAAGTAAATGTGACACAGTATAAAGGAATCCATAAATACAGAGAACTACACTATATTTCTCTAGAGGCAAATACATAGCCAATTCCTCTAACACAATTCAACCTTTATCATTAGATACAGAATTGTGCAATTATTAACAAAAATATGATAATGTTACATGTAGTTCTTCATGTCTTTAATTAGTATGAAATATAAAAGTTGAAAATACTGTGCCAATTTCATATACTCTTTTTTTTTAAAAAAGTCATATTTACATCTACCTAGATGAAACCAAATGAAAATATTTTCTTTTGTAAGTTTCATAGTTTTTGAGAGTTCTATCTAGCCCAGACTGAAGTTACTGATGATCAACTTTCTTACTTTAAAATAATACAAGAAAAATCAACAAAACTGTGCTGGGATGGAATTTTGGAAGAGCTTTCTAATGGTGCCACATTTGGTAAATATAAATATTTGTGGAAAAATTTTAAAACGTGATGCCAATGAGAACCTGACACTTCTCTGTGGTGGTGGTCTGGGAGTGGAGAGACGGAATAGAAGGTGCCCATTCAGGTCAGGTCAGGTCACAATTCCCTATGGCTGTACATAACAGAGCAGAGACTCAACAGCAACACAGAGTAGGTTAAAGTGCACCGTACGCAGACAGAAGATGGCCAGAAAGGAGGCATGTGTGCCCAGGCTGGCAGTCTCTGCACTGTGAAAGCTTCAGTCTTTAGCCCTGGGCTTTATGCTTCTGTTTGCTGGTGAGCTCAGGCACAATGCATATACATTCAGTGTCTGTCATTCCAACAGGCACAGTTGGCAGCTTAATGGTGGCATTAAAATGGAGGGCTATTTGCATACAATCAATCAAATGAAACTCTGTGGCTTCATTCCAAGCCTAGGGGTGCCCGGAGACTGAGCTTTTGCAAAGCTGATGTGGGCATACAGAAGAACAGTGATGCCCTTGTGCCCCACTTCCAGGGCGATCGAGAGCATGGTGCTGCCATCATTGTCCTGCAGGTGGACGTTGCAGCCCAGCTGGGCCAGCAGCAGCTTGATGATCTCCATGTGCCCGTGCTTGCTGGCACAATGAGGACCATGGAGCCCTTGTCGTCCTGGAGGTTGACCTGAGCCCCACAGGCCGGCAGACCATACACCATGCCGATCTGCACAGTAACTGACTGCAGCATGAGGGCCATCTGCCCCAGCTGACTGGCTTTGAGGCTCACCTTTCAGCCAGAGTTCTTCCCCAACCTGCATGTCCTCTGCTTCCGCAGCTGCGAGGGCCGCCAGCATGATGAAGGTATAGCCCCTTGTTCTGGTGATCCACGTTACACATGTGGGTGTCCAACAGCAGCTTCACAATCTCAAAATTGGAGTGGGACATGCTGTAATGGAGGGCTGTGTTGCTGTTGCCATCTGCCAAGTTGATGACCTAGTAGAGGGCATCCAGGGAGGTAGCCTCAAAAGCAGCTCTGTAGTCTCCCAGGGTGGCTGCAATGGCTAACTTCTGACTGGACACGCAGAACCCCTTGTGCTGGAGGGTGTTCAGACAGAACCTCATATCTTTGCTGGTCACAGCTTTGGGGTCATTTATATTATTTTTCAGTAAGTTGCAAGCAGACAACATTTTTTCACTTAATTTATACCTCCCTCTGATTTTCACCTTCTCAGGTTCACGTTCTTGAAACTGCATTTCATCTTCCACCCTGGCCAACTTGAAACCTTCAATGTTAATGGCATGGTGCCCTTTGGCCATTCCCCAAGTGTCTTCATCCTCGTCTTCTTCAAGAGGATACTACTCAATGACACTCAATGACATCACACTCGTCATCTGACTCAGAAGAAGAGCTTTCATCTGTGTGAAAATCATCACTTGAAGTTGTTGCATAACCTCCATTAATGCCAACAAACTGAAGATTCTTTTTCATGCCATTTGAATCTTTGTTACCATCTTTCTTCTTCATAATGGGCTCCAGTGTACTTTCATTGTTTGTGCATATGGAGGCCAGCGGCCATCTGGTTGTCTGTCAGGTTCACTAGAGACCATGTCCTTTCCTGAGCGGGGAAGGCATCCTGGCTGCTGACCAGCTTTCCTTCTGAGATCCCTACCTCTGAGCAGCCTTCTTCCTGATACAGATACTTTACTAATGTAGATTTCCTTTCTAGATGTACATTTCCTTGTAAAAAGGACAGCTTTTTAGAGCCATTCCTGTGTCTGTAGTTTCTCTGAATAATCAGCTCGAAATATGCCAAAGAGGTATATTTTTGGGTGGCACATTGTGGTCTCCTCCAGTCATATTTTGGGATGGTGTGGGCCGAGCCCCAGCAGAGGCAAAAATAAGACTTAAAATCACGTAGGACTTTTATCCATCAAGGAAGACCTGGTTCTCCTCCTCTTGGCTAAGTCAAGAATTGCCTGTGCTACTTAACCAGATTCTTTTTAGATGAACTCTCTGTGACATACTTTTCCAGGAGCATTGCTGCTTTGTCATATGGGGAGCCCATCAGTGCTATAAATCTGATGGCAAATTTTTCTAAACCTGGACACACACTTCTAGAAGGTTTCTTGCTATCTCTCTGCCTGCATTTTTTTTTTTTTCTGGCCATGGGATTGTGACTGCCTGTTTGTAAAGGGCAGTGATGGGGGTGTGAGGAGGGGAAGGCTGCTGGAGGAGGTAGCTCTTATAGTGGACAAGGGGGGTTGGTAAATACATACCATACTAGTTTTCTGGGGCTGCCATAACAAATCACCACAAAACGGATGGCTTAAAACAAGAGAAATTTATTCTCTTACAGTTTTGGAGGCCAGAAGTCCAAAATCAAGGTGCTGGCAAGGCCATGCTCCCTTCAAAGCCTGTAGAGGAGGATCATTCCTTGCTTCTTCCTGGTTTCTTGCTTCATCCTTGCTTCTTCATTCCTTGCTTCTTCCAGGCCTTCCTTGGCTTGTGGCAGCAGAGCTCCCACTGCCACCTCTGTCTGCACATGGGCACTCTCTCCCTGTGAGTCTGTCTGTTAACATGGTGTTCTTCATCAGGACACCAGTCATATTGAATTAAGGACCCATCCTACTCCAGTATGACCTCATCTTAACTAATTACATCTGCAACCACCCTATTTTCAAGTCAGGTCACATTTACATGTATTAGGGGTTGGGACTTCAACATGTTTTTTTTCTGGGGACACAATTCAACCCATAATAAAGCAGGCCAGCACCCACCCCCCTCAGGTGGAGAGACACTGAGGCACATATTCTGCACTGCCTCCCAGACTTCCTCTGTGGATCATGCCCCAGGTGCCACAGCAGTGACCTGCCCAATAATGCAGCCTTTATTGGCTGCCTTTACCTTTTCCACTGCCCACTGGTGACCCTGCTGGTGTTTCCTGGGATCATCTCTCATATAAACTGCTTGTTTTCAAATACTTGTCTCAGGGTTTGCTCCTGGGGGACCCTGACCTAAGAAACTATCCAAAGTCAAGGCTTATATTATGCCAAATAGTATACCTGCACTTGCAACCCCTTGTCTTAATATATCCTGATACAAGATACTGGGAAATGCTCAGCATGTACTCACATGCACAGAGTACAATGTCTCTTCCTTTTTTCCTATCACAGCCCAGCAGAAAACAAAATCCTTTCCTAAAGAGAGATTCAGGGGCCCAAGGTGAAAAATGATTTACTGTCTATAGGAGAGAAAATAAAACCCAGCAATACACCAAATGCCAGCCTGGCAAATCTCACACACACACACACACACTCACACACTGGGCACTGCTCACGAGGAAAGCTGCTGGAAGCTAGAGTGCAATGCATATGGCACCCCCCAGCTTCCCCCTGGCATCTGCCTTGTTGAGGTTCTGCACATTAGTACATCTTTTCATTTTAGTTTGCAAACACCCCAGGGGAGGGAAACGTGAAGGTGTAGATGGTCTATCAAAGATGAAGGAGACATCCAAGAGAATCCCACCCAATACGTGCTGCTCAGACGGTACAATTAGGATCTTGGGGATGTCACCATTTCTTCAGGAAGAAGTGAAGAACAATCTAGTCCACTGTTTTTCCCACTTTTAATCAAAATAATTTATGTCCATTGTAAAAACATTAAGTAGTCCTGAAAGGCTTATAAATGAGGATTATGGGTTGAATTTTGTCCCCAAAATGAAGAAGTCTTAACCACTGGCACCCATGAATGTGACCTTATTTGGAAATCAGGTCTCCGCAGTTAAGATGGGGTCATTAGAGTTTCTAGTATTATTGGTGTCCTTACAAGAAGACGGAAATTCAGAGACAAACACACACACAGAGGAGAATACCATGTGGAGACAGAGGCAGAGACTGGAGCTATGCCTCTTCAAGCCAAGAAATGCCTGGGTTACCAGATTTTTCTGGTACGGTCAAGGAAGGATTCTGCCCTAGAACTGTCAGAGGGAACACTGCCTCTGCCAACAATTCAGTTTCAGACTTCTGGCCTCCAGATATGCAATAGAATACTTTTCTGTTGTTTTAAGCCACTCAGCTTGTGGCACATTGTTATGGCAGCCCTAGGTATCTAATACAATGAGAAACAATGGCCTCAGTGCCCCATCCTCCAAATCTGTGTGCAGATGCAGCCACCTGTAATTTAACTTTTAGATTTATTTTCTTATTTGAATATATTGTCATGATTTATAATATCATGACAAGTTTATCGAGAAGGAGTTATAACACAGAGCTGGGACAGGAGGAAAGAAAGGGTCCTATTATTACAAAATGAAAATACACACCATGCCACTGTAAAACATAGTATAATCAGGAGGCCGGGTGGGTGGTTCACCCCTGTAATCCCAGCACTTTGGGAGGTCGAGGCAGGCAGATCACCTGAGGTCGGGAGTTGGAGATCAGCCTGGTCAACATGGTGAAACTCTACTCTACTAAAAATACAAAAAAATAGCTGGGTGTAGTGGCAGTTGCCTCTAATCCCAGCTACTCGGGAGGCTGAGGCAGGAGAATCACTTGAACCCAGGAGATGGAGGTTGCAGTGAGCTGAGATCGTGCCACTGCACTCCAGCCTAGGCAACAAGAGCGAAACTCTGTCTCAAAACAAACAAACGAACAACAAACACATAATATAATCAGGAGATTTCAGGTGCTGAAATAATTAATTAATTGCAGTAATTACAATTCTGCAGTCCAGGATCCTGACACTCACATATATGACAGGCTTCACTGAGAAAGTATCTGTTGATGAAAGACCTAAAGAAAGGGTGTGAGCCATGTGGACACCTGGGGCAAGGACATTTCAGGCAGAGGGAATAGTAGGTGCAAAGGCCCTGGGTCAGGAATGTGTTTGGCATGTTTGAAGAAGAACAAGAGGCCAGAGTGGGAGACTGTCGTAGGAGGTGAGCTTAGAGAGGCAGCAGGGGCCAGGTCACGCAGGGCTCTCTGTAGGTCCTGGTAAGGACTTTTGTTTTACAATTGGAGAGTTCTCAACGGATGACTGATAGGATTTGCTTTATGTTTATAACAACACTGGCTGCTGGGTTGAGTGATGGCTGTAGGGGAAGTGAAGGCAGAAACACAGAAACCAATAAGGAGGGCACTGTAATGACCCTGGTGGGTCATTGTGATGGCAGGGTCCAAGGTGGTGGCACTGGGAATGGGGAGAAGTGGTAGAATTCTAGATCTATTCTGGAGACAGAGCTGACACGTAGGGCTGCTGGTTTTGGTGTGGCATGAGGGAATGAGAGGAGAATACCAAGGCTTTAGGCCTGAGCATCTGGGAAAACAGATGGGGAGACTGCAGGAGGGACTGGTTTGGAAGGGTAGAGATGGGGAGCTCAGATTTGAACTTGTTAAGTTTGAGACGTGAATAGATACCCAGCAGAGGTGTTGAGCTGGGTATATGAGCCAGTGCTGGAGGAAAAGGCCTGTGTTGAAGACTGCATGTGGGAGTCATCATCATAGAGACGGTATTTAAAGCCTTAAAACTGGGTGAGATCACCTAGAGTTATATAAATGAGTGAAAGATGGCCTCTGTTTATTGGCTCATAGATTGTTTATTTCTTCATTGCAGGCTGACACTGATTACTGCAGAAGCCAAACTCAAATTTTTACACATCCAATTATTTTAAACAAATTTTATGCCAATTTTTAGCCATTCAGGGCCTTGCTGGTACATACCCGGTGAAACTATACCCAGCATCTGTTGGCCATTGATAACATAGAGCCTTGTGGTTATAAGACCTTAAGTGCGATGTTAATCCCAGCACTTTGGGAGGCCGAGGCAGGCAGATCGCTTGAGCTCAGGAGTTCAAGACCAGCCTGGGCAATGTAATGAAACCCTGTCTCTACTAAAAATACAAAAATTAGCTATATGTGGTGGCATGCGCCTGTAGTCCCAGCTACTTGGGAGGCTGAGGTGGGAGGATCACTTGAGCCTGGGAGGTGGAGGTTGCAGTGAACTGAGATCATGCCACTGCTCTCCAGCCTGGGTGACAGAGTGAGACCCTGTCTCAGAAAAATAAAGCCAAAAACAAAAACACAAACCTCAAGCCGTCCCTGTCCTTCGGAGCTCTCTGACCCAGAGACTCCCCTCTGTACTGCTGTGCAACACCACCTAGACACATAAGCCTTGTTTCTGACTCTCCCCTCCCTCGGGGGTATCCTTGCCTTTCCTCCTCTCCTTCTGAGTAGCAACACCTGTAGTGTGTGCTCTTTGCACAGACTCTTGCTCTAAGGGACATCCCCCTACCCCTATGCAAACCTGTCAGAGTGTCACCATCACCAATAAAATATGTGTGTGCTGCTGCCATCTCATGGTCATGTCTTTCTCTTTGATCAGTCCCCAAATCCTCCAAACACCCTAGGGAGTTAGTGTAGACAAGAAAAGGAAGAAGTGCAAGTGCTGAGCCCTGAGGCATGCCAATGTTTAGAAGTTTCAGAGATGAGGAAGAACCAGTAAGAGAGATACAGAAAGAAAGGCTGGAGAGGTAGGAGGGAAACCAGGAGAGAGTGGTGTTCTAGAAGCCAAGGGAGGAAAAGCCTGGCAAGGAGAGGGATGGACGGTGTCAGACACTGCTGATAGGTCCAGCGGACCGAGAAGGAGCTCTGGATGTCACACTACTGTCCATTGTTGCTTGCTGCCCACACCAAACCTGCTTCCCACTGTGGCTGCTCCAAAGGGCTGCTCTCCCGTTTCCACCAGTGCCACAATCCGTCTCATCACGCCACTGAAATCAGTGATCAGCAAAGTTTTTCACAAAGGCCCAGAGAGCGTGTATTTTAGGCTTTGAGACCATATGGGCTCTATCACAATTATTCAACTTTGCCACAGTGTGAAAGCAGCCATTGACAATACATAAACAAATTGAGAGTGGCTGCGTTCCAATAAAACTTCAGTTTGAATTTCATGTAATTTTCCCATGTCACAAATTTATTTTATTTTTTATTTTTATTTTTTTTACTTTTCCGCTTCAACCACTTAAAAATGTAAAAATCTTTCGTTACAGGCCATACAAAAAACTTGTAGTGGGCCAGATTTGCTGCCCGCTGATTTAAATTAATCATATTCTTTCTTATTTTTATCTCCTTTCTTGAATCTGTCACCATATGACTTTATTTATTTATTTATGAATGACAGAGTCTCACTCTGATGCCCAGGCTGGAGTGCAGTGGTGTGATCTCAGCTCACTGCAACCTCTGCCTCCTAGGTTCAAGTGATTCTCCTGCCTCAGCCTCCCAACTAGCTGGGATTACAGGTGCCGCCACCACACCCAGCTAATTTTTGTATTTTTAGTAGAGAAGGGGTTTCACCATGTTGGCCAGGCTGGTCTCAAACTCCTGACCTCAAGTGAGCCACCCTCCTTGGTCTCCCAAAGGGCTGGGATTACAGGTGTGAGCCACCAAGTCTGGTCTATATAATTATTTAATTTAATTTAATCTAGTTTATAGCTCCTATTTTGTGTCACTCACAGGTGACAGGAGAGCACTGAGAGGTCACTACCCACCTAAGCATTTGATTAAGGAAAAGTATTCCCAAAAGGCAAAAGAATGCCTGCTATCATTTCCCCTGGATTAATTTCTCCACTCTTTAAAGTTTGTTGGCTTAGAATTATAACACTATGTAGACCAAACATCCAACAGATTGACCTACCCCTCTTTCAAAACAAAATATCCACAGCACCTTGTTACCTGTCAAAGCAAAAATGAAATGTCAAAATCTTTCCAGTCTTGTTTTAATGATATCTCAGCTAAGAGTAAAAAAAAAAAAAAACAAAAACAAAAAAGCCCCAGGTTATTAATAGAACTGTAAAAAGGGCCTTCCAAAAGGAGTGGGTAGAGTATGATATTCATTTCCTATGCTTCAAAGATCTTGCCCTTTCTCATAAAAACTCAGATAGCTGTGGGTGCCTAGTAAAGGTTAATACGGTAGTTGAAAGGTTACTGGTTGCTTTTTAAGTAGCTATTCAGGGACTTACCTCTCTCACCATCTGACCTGTGCTACATAGTTAAGTTCAAGGAAAATTATAATCCTTTTTACAAAAATTAATACTAGCCTAGAGGCAACATCATATTTCAAGTTATTAGATACACTCTGTTCCTTTCTAGCACTGCACTTAAAGGCATTACAAAATCAGGATAAAGTGAATCCTGATCATGGATTTTTAGGACATGCGTTTTAGTATTTAGTACTGTTCTTGCAATACTTACAACCAACACTTTAAAACAACATGCAAACACTCCATTTTTTTTTCCCAAAGCTTCACTATGTATTGAGAAAAGGCTATTTTTGGCTTTTCAATATACAACCAATGCATGAATGATTGCTCAGTATTTGCTTCATACAATTTGAGTGTACCTTTAAGCTAAAAAATGCCCTGTAATGGGTGCCATGCTATATTGCCAAGTACCCTAGTCCAGTGGAGGAACAGGATGGATGTTACAGAATGATTTTTGTCTTTGACTTCTTGATTGCCATTCATTAAAGTGCTATTCTACATAACTCCTCTGGTGGCTGGATGTCCAAAAATCATAAAATTATCCGTTCATCTGCTCCAAAGGTGAATGTCCATTTTAAACACAAGACAAAAACATCCTGTATTTAGCTGTACCCATGATGTGCATGCACACAGTCGTGGTTCCCAGTGGGCGGTTCCTGGACCAACAGCACCAATATCACCTGGAAACTACTTGAAATGCAAATGCTCTGTACCACTCCAGAAGTACTGAAATCTTATTCTGTGGGGTGGAGGGCCCAGTGGCCTCTGCTTACCAAGCCCTCCAGGGGAATCTAAGTTTTCCAATGCTAAGTTTGCAAACCACAGAATTCAATCATCTGTACGCAGATTAAGTAAACTATATGAATGAGAAAAAAAAAAAATACAGATTAACTTATGCTGTTGGCATTGGTAAGATGAGTTCACAAGGTAACATGAGCATGCAGGGCCTTGGTAGCTCAGACCCCAGACCCCTTGCTCAAGAAACTCAAGAGAAAAGATTTAGGGAACGGAATGCAACTTGCAAACCAGTAACCAGGAGACCAGCCACTACTGATTCTAATCTATGCAGTTTTCTGTTCTCCTTGTCCAAACTTGATTAGCTACATGTGTGTGTGACACCAGCTTGCAACACACTCCGTGAGGTGCCAATCCAGGCATGTCCTCTACAATAGACAGACCACGTCACAATCGGCCGAAAGCCCACAGGACATCACTGACTGCATCACTGTTAGAAGAATCACAGTAGGAAACATTTTCATTTTTATTTATTTTTTGAGACAGTTTCACTCGTCGCCCAGGCTGGAGTGCAATGGCGTGATGTCGGCTCACTGCAACCTCTGCCTCCCGGGTTCAAGCGGTTCTCCTGCCTCAGCCTCCCAAGTAGCTGGGATTACAGGCGTTAGCCACCACGCATGGCTAATTTTCTAATTTTTAGTAGAGATGGGGTTTCAACATGTTTGTCAGGCTGATCTTGAACCCCTGACCTCAGGTGATCCGCCTGCCTGGGCCTCCCAAAGTGTTGGGATTACAGGCATGAGCCACTGTGCCCGGCCGACATTTTTATTCTTTAATAGCAATTAGGATAAAGGACTCAAAATTGTACTTAGTAATCACATTGGCATAGCACATGCTATTTGGAAAAAAAATTTTTTTTCTGAGATGTTCCTTGCTGTATGATACAGGCCTATTCTATGACAGGAGCAACGCAAACGATGACCATGTTCCAGTGAGCAAGACTCAATCTCTCAAATGAACAAGAGCCTTGGCTGATTCTAAACACTTTCTTTGCTACAGCACATGATCAAATGATTAGAGTTTTTCAGAGCTTAGAAAGGGTAACCATCTAATCATGACAGAGTTCTTCAGCATTAATAATCAAGAAAGGCACTTTAGGGACATTTGACAAGGAATGACACTAATACAATGAGAATTGGTCTAAGTCCTGCACAAGACTTTGATACAGTTCAAATAGACTGCACACTCTTTCTGTCCCCATGTGTACATACATATTCATACAGGTGGTACAATCTATGTCTCCACTTGCATGTGTATGTATATATCTGTGTATATATAAATATATGTGTGTATATATACCAACATCTATATACATATGTGTGTGTGTGCAAATGTGTATCCATAAGACCATAGAGGGGGAAAAGACATTTGTTTCCTTTAATTGAATAGTACACAAAAATTCTAGTCACTTTATTTAGAACAAAGAATAAGAGTATTGGCAAATTAATGCAAAAAAGTACCCTACTAAACCTTTCTATGCACAAAAAAGAGCAGTAAAATAAATACTCAGAACTTTCCCAGGTTGTCAACTATTAAAATAAAACCTCAGCATTTCAAAAAAGCTTATTCCGCTGCAGGAAAGAAGGTGGACATTTTTGGTACCATAATAAATCACACACTCACACATCCATATTGCTTAGGTTGAAGAGAACGGAATGAACAGAGGAAATTTCTTCCATGAATTGCCCTCCTTTCGGTACCCGCCATGTTTTAGTTACGTTGTATTATTCCACTTAGCTTAAAATATAAAGTCTTGTAGAAACACATTTTTAGGATGTTGAAGTTCTCAAGATATTTGCACAGAATATTTAGAAGTACTTAGAGGAGTTTTGTTAAATGCAGTTGGTCATACTACATACCCCATGGTTGCAGTTTTGACAGACCAAATGCATCTGTGTCAGAAATAGACAAAAGGCATATACTCCTCCTTCCTAGAAACGGGTACATAGACATGTTCTTATTCTTGGGATATGAAAAAACAAGTAGTAATGGCATTTAAAGTTTAATTACTAACTGTATAATGCCTGAGAACAAAATTCAGAGCAATTCTCAAAAGGGTTAAGAGTCAGACTCTGGGCATTTTCGTTTTTTAGCTGCAGGCTCCTCAGTCTCGTGTGATTCTAAAGTGCTTGCATTAGATTTGAGGCTGGTGTCTGCTTTAAGGTTGTCCATGGCAACGGTGAAGCCGGAGAGAAGATAACCCCCACCTCCACTCATCAGCAGTTTAGGATGACTTCGATCTGGCAAAACCTAATCAAGACAGAAAAGACATTCATGCTTTCCTAAGACAATAAAGTCCATGCTAACAACACATATACCAAAAATCAGAATTTAAACAACACAGGTTCTCTTGATGATTTAAATGGACATTTTTTTTTCTTTCTTTTCTTTTCCCTCCCTCCCTCCCTCTCTCCCTTCCTTCCTTCCTTCCCTTCCTTCCTCCCTCCCTTCCTTCCTTTCTCTCTCTCTCTTTCTTTTTAAGAGGCAGGGTCTCACTGTTCCTCAGGCTGGAGTGCAGTAGTGAGATTTTGGCTCACTGTAACCTCGAACTCCTGGCCTCAAGTGAACCTCCCACTTTGGCTTTCCAAAGTGCTGGGATTACAGATACGAGCCACGGCACCAGGCTTTAAATGGACCAACTTCTAAGGACTAATTTCTTCACATTACAATGCAAAGAAAAGTGTAGAAATTGGTTTAATTGATTTTCTTTTGAAAAATAAAACTGGCCGGGAATGGTGGCTCACGCCTGTAATCCCAGCACTTTGGGATGCTGAGGCAGGTGGATCACAAGGTCAGGAGTTTGAGATCAGCCTGGCTAACATGGTGAAACCCCATCTCTACTAAAAATACAAAAATTAGCCAGGCGTGGTGGCACACAGCTGTAATGCCAGCTACTCGGGAGGCTGAGGCAGGAGAATTGCTTGAACCCGGGAGGCAGAGGTTGCAGTGAGCCAAGATCGCGCCACTGCACCCCACCTGGGCGACAGAGCGAGACTCTGTCTCAAAAATGAAAAAAAAAAAAAAAAGAGAAGAAAAAGAACTGAAGCAGTTTTCAGTTCAGCCCAGGTTTATCTAGAAACTGAAGCATGTTTCTGGCGGAGAATGGGTAATGGTCTTGGCAGTACTCTAGAACTGTGCATATAGCTTTCTTTCTCCTGGCTTCAGGAAGCTTCATGGCCAATAATGGAGCTTGGGTCTATGGAGAAGTTGCTACTGAATGTACTACACTCCAAACCTCCCTTCCCCGCTACCCTGTTAACTCTGCCAAGGCAACTTCTCTCCTCTTTCTCCTGTAACCTTAGCCAAGACAGACAACCTCCACAAAGGGCAGGGTTACCCAAGGCTCAATAGCATCCCCACTACAGTATGGTAAGACACCAAGCAATGAGACGGGGCCTACGGCAGCATGGAGGTGCTCCCCTCAGATCTCCCTTCATGAGGGAACAGCTGAGAGGCATTCAGGCAGTAGAACACCTCCAGCTGCCGCTCCTTTGGGATCCACTGCAGCATTCATACCGAGGGAGGCCATGGGTTGCTTCCAGTCAGTAACTGAGCATGGGTACCAGAGCTGGAGCATTTCTGCTTAACACAGGGCTCCTTGAATGGCGATCTTTCCACTTGGGCTCGCCATCAGCCTCATGGAGACTTTCTCCAGAGCAGCACTGCAGGCTCTTCCTACCATCCTCCTTTCTCTACCCGCTCCTTGCCCAGGCATCAACCTGCACCACCAATCTTGCTCCCTCTCCCCTTATCTTTCTAAGGCATTTCCCTCAATAAATCTCTTACACTTCAACTTCCATCTTAGCATATGTCTTCCAGAAGACCTGAACTGACACAGAGCCCACCAGTAAATCCTGAAAACTTGCTGCAAAAACATCCTGGCAGAGAGGAAAGGGCCAGTTTCTCATCCACCTGGGAATTTTGCTATTGTCAATTACATCATCCACAGTGATACTGAGGCCTTGGGGAAATAAGAACCATAATGGTTTGCATTTTAAATGCCTTTAGGGCAGAGTTACAGAGTAATATATTCTGACATAACAAGAGAAAAAAAGGGTCACAAAAAGTCAGGGGCATATTCTCTGAGTAACAGCCATGAGAAATCTCCATCCCTGTAGAAAGAAACAGAGACATCTCTATTTTTATTTTGTTTTGTTTTTGAGAGAGGGTCTTACTCTGTCACCCAGGCTGGAGTGCAGTGGTGGGATCTCGGCTCACTGCAGCCTCGACCTCCAGGGTTCAAGCAATCTTTCCACCTCAGCTCCTGAGTAGCTGGGACTACAGGCACCTGCCACCATGCTCGACTGATTTTTATATTTTTTGTAGATACAGGGTCATGCCCAGCCAATTTATGTATTTTTTTTTGTAGAGACAGGGTTTCACCATGTTGCCCAAGCTGGTCTTGAACTCCTGGGCTCAAGCGATCTGCCTGCCTTGGCCTCCCAAAGTGCTGGGATTACAGGCATAAGCCACTGTGCCTGGCTGAGATAACTCTATTTAATGACTTCTAGTACTACTGCAAGGAAAGTCAAGTCTCGGGAGGGCAGCTCTTGGGACTGGCTGTAAGAACACGTACCTGATAATTTCTGAGCCAGGTTTCAGACAGCCTGAGGTTGATGACCCCTCCCCTCTCCCGCAGTTTTGTGTAGCATTCCAACAGAGGCTGCAGACAACAACAGAATTCTGTTAAGAACTACTTCCTGGGATGCAGTTTAAGAATCAACATTCAGACATAAGAATTCCTGCCCATTCCATTCCAGTATTACCTCTTTGTACTGACAGTAGACCACAAACGGCCTTGAAGGGGCCACAAAGTCCAGCAAAGACAGCAGCAGGGGAGTGGGGTGGAAACGACTAGCTACAATTAAACTGTAAGGAAAATGCCAGACAAATTATTTCTCTACACCCTCAAAGTGGAGCACAGGTTTTAAAATGCATTTAAAATGATCATGTATTTAATTTGCATGACTCACAAAGAGAAGAGATTTAAATATAACATTCTAGAAATCCAAAACAGAATACAATCATGAGCTATTTCTTTCTAGGAAACGCGAACTAGGTTAGAAGCTCTTGTGGTACTTGGCAACTCTAAGTCGCATTTAATGACATTCTTGATTTTTTAAAAAAAATCACCTGGAAACAAATCCAACACTGCATAAGCTGCTTTGTGGATATCTGTTATAGCCTGTATCGCAGCATTTGAGTGCCCCATCCCCTGCATCCAGTGGGACCACAGGGCCCATCTTGATGCAGTGATGGAGAAGATTCAATTTCTTCTGAAACCCTGAAACCAGCATCATCAATTCCCCACCCCTGCCAGCCTCAGCCTCCTTTCTTTAAAAAAACCCCCAAGACAAAATCCTCATCTCGGGTCCCACTAGAGTCAAAGCAGACAAGGAGAAAGAGAATGCCAATCTGTCTGAAGCAGAGCCCACATGCACTGAGGAGTCTCCTGCCTTCTTCCATCAACGCACCCATCTGCGTTTCTTTCACTCAGCAGAGCGGCAGCCTCTAAATGTCTTTTCCTCTGCTCTTCTTGTCTCCTCTGTTTTTCCTGAATCTTCAAAAAGAAAAATAAGAAATCAATGTACTGGGGTCTTTCAGTCAAATTTATGGAAATGCTCTGGCCTGTCAAAACATTTCAACAATATTTATCAACTTGGACTAAACCAATAGAAGCAGGTTGTTTATAAGGAAGTTGCAAATACACAAGAAAGCCTATATACTATAAAAACCATGATTAAGCTATCTATGCAACGCTTCTGTATCCTAAAGCTCCATCCCGAAGACCGAATCACACGTTTGTATACATGTACACACACTCGTTCTCTGTTTTGATAGTTATCATCTTGGGAGCTAATACACCAAAGCCAAACTAAATCTCATGACTTAACTGAAGTTAACTGAGGGACTGAGATTATGGGGGTGGTGGGGACTCTTGGCATCCTTACATAATCTTTTTTGCTTCCTCTCTCTTTAGGCCCCTTATGTTCTGGATCTTGAGAAATTGTTTCCATTGTTTCCTGGTCTTCTGGGTGGTTGCTCTCTGGGGCCTCTGCCATGCTGTCTTCATTCTCTTGTTCAGAAGCCTGTTTTTCCTCCAGTGTGCCATTACTTTCTTCAACCAAAGCACTGTCTTTTGGCTCTGAAGATAACATCTTGGCAGAAAATGTTCCATGTAGAAGACTGTCCACTTTGTTGAGAGGGAATTCATAAAGACCACTGAGAAAAGATTTGGGAAATCCAAAACATGCTGTTGCTGCCCGAACAGGTCCTCCTCCAGGGTATAGCTGAATAATGGAGCCAAAACCTGAACAGATAAAAGAAACAAACATCTGCCCGTGGAGTGACTCTAGACTACGTAAACCCTCAGTGAGTCCTCCACAGTAATGAGACTGAAGGTCTTTCTATTAGTACTTTATTCAGAGGCTGAAGGATGGTGCAGCTCCTCAGGGAGTCTGTTTGGAGTCTATGAGTATTACCAATGGAGGTAATATAATTCTAAAGCAGATAGCAGGAAGACTCAAAGAAGCTTATCCCCACTTGATACTATTGTAAAACCCTGTGTCTGCAAATTTGGATGTCACATGATTGGTGACGGACTCTGCTTCCCCTCACTCCGATCCTCAAATGGAGCAGTTACAAGTTCTTACCTTCTATGGGGTCAGAAAAAAACCAGACAAATCAGGCTGTGTTGTATTCTTCCAGAGAGAATACATGCTTAGTAATCTTCCCACTCAATCCCTTCAATTTAGGCCCAATGAAATGAGCACCAGCTACCCAGGAGTTTACTAAAATCACTGTCCCGAAAGCCCTAGCCAGCCACAGGCTCCAGCATCATGCCCACTGACAGTGAAGCTAGAAAGGACAATTGCCATGGGTTTGGGGGTACCCATGGGTGGGGGGCTGGGTGATGGAGACTGTGTAAGAAGGTCCCCATGCTAGGAGCCGTGCAGGTTCACCCAAGTCACTTTGTTAACCCTGAAGTAATTCAATTTGGCTTTCCATGAGTTTACATTTTTGGACCACCTTTACTCACATCAGGGTGGGGTTTTGTTGAAAATGGAAATATTAAATCTTACCTCCCATTCGTTCCATCATTGCACCCAGCACCAAGCCTGCACACGTTTCCATCACAATCATTTTGTTGCCAGCACGGATATTTCCCAACGTCAACATCTGGGCTAGTGTATCGTATCTCATGTGGCTAAAGTAAAAACAATAATTTGTTCATTTTTAGCTAAGTAAAGCCTATTATTTTAATCATCATTTTTCAAGTTTTGTTTGCTTTATTAAAATTGTGTTGATAAGATTATTGATTGCTTTGGAGGTGACAGTAAAAGGACTTACAATTTATGAGGTAGGAGGATACTTTATGCAGGTGAGCAAGCTTTTTCATTTTACTTAAAATCATGACTTTCTTAAAGACATATTTCCCCCAATTATACTTTTGAAAGGAAACAAAGCGTACTTAATTTTTCCAGGTTCTCTTGCATAATACATAATTGAAAGAATACGGGTGGATGGCTTCACAACAGTAATGATGGCTTCATATCTGGGGGAAGAAAAAACAGAACGCTGATTTAAAAAAATGACTTAAAATATTTTATTTGTAATAAAATGTATATTTTATAAACATATAAGAAGTTTAATATTGTGGGCCTTTTAAAATAAAAACTACTTACTTTTTTTTCTTCTTTTTAATATATTTATCTTGGGCAAATTCTGTCTTGTCTCGGAATGTTGTACTATTTTCAATTAACTGCTGAACTATTTCCTATAAGAAAAGGAGCAAGTAGATTTTCTGAAACTTTACTTTCACAAAACAAGTAATTTCCAAAGGCTTCTTACCCAAGAATGGATCCAATGGTCTGATTCTCCAATCCCTTTTCCACAGAAGTCCAAATAGATGAACTTTATATTTCTATACTCTATTTGGAATTTATAATAAAATACAAGTACTTTATAACTCCACTTAAACCAACGTAAAAGAACAGAGATATCCAACAAAAGGAGAAGAGAGGTAAAGGAAACTAATTTCTGAAGACACTGGCTGAAAACATTACTGAAAATGAACAAAGTTAAATCCTGATATGCACTGTTATTACATTCTCTACCACTGACATTAGTAATGTCATTCACTTATATTCCTGTATATAAGACATAAAATCTTTGAAATGTTGAGTAACATGTACATTTCAACCTATTTCTATCAAAGCTATAACGTTATTTTTTTGTTTTACCTTAGGTACAGTCTGCTTTAAAAACCCAACAGTTTCCTAAATGCCAAACAGACAAAAACAAAACTAAAAATCCTTTGAATATTACCTCTCCTTTAATGCCCTTGTCCTTCAAAGCTTTTATGTCATCTTGAGTAAGTTTCTGAGATTTCCCATCATCAACTATATTTCGATTATCAGTGCCCGCTTCTTTAGTCTCTAAGGAAAGAAATTGCTCTATTGACATTTATGGTCTGAAATTATTTGACACTTTCTTTTTCTGAGTTCATATCCACATCCAGTCCATCAGCCACTCAAGTCTGGCCTCCCAGCTGCACTGCCCCCATCACACTATCCTTTCCTGCCAAAACTACTCCAAGCCTCTAAGTCATCTTCCTGCTCCCAGTCTTGCCCCCCTACTATCCACCTGGATGCCAGAGTGCTCTTTGTTTAAATGCAATTTGACTCATCTACCCCATGCTTAAAACCATACAGTGGCTTCCCATAGCAATAAGAATACACTCCAAAGATGACCTGCAAGGTCATAAATGATCTGGCCCCTGCCTATCATTCCTGGCCTGATCTCTTGACACTTTAGCTTCAGCCACAATGGCCTTCTTTCTGTTCCTTGAACACACCCAGCAAGGTCCCACAGCAGGCTTTTGGCACCTGCTGCTTCCTCTGCCTGGAAGGTTCTACGACAGATGTCTGAGTGGCTGGATCCTTTCTATCACTTGAGGCTGAGCTCATTCTCTTGCTTTACCAAATTAGTACACGCCCCTGCTTTATTATCTTCATAGCATGTGTCACTTCACCATCAGAAATCATGCTGTTTGCTTGTCTACTTGATTATTTTTGGTGTTCCAACTGGTAAGCACATTTTATACGACAGTCTATCTTATGAACTGCTATAATTGCAGCGCCAAATTATACCTGGCATATATTTGGTGCTTAGTAAAAATATGGATATTAATTTAAATGTATCTAAATAACAGGTTTGACTCAAAACTTTAACAGTATTTAACTTCAAATAATTACTTGTGTTTTAATTAATAAGATACTCTCAATGTTCATTTTAATAAATATAATTTTAATTAACAATAACAGCTTTTGGACAAGAGGTTGTTAAGAAATAATAATAGTAATAGCTAAAATTATGGGCCCTTACTAAAAGCAAGACACTATTCAGAACTTCCTATGAGTCATATCATAGAACACTCAATACAACCTAGGCATTAAATGTGTTTATGACCCTATTTTACATATATAAGGATATAAGACTCACAGAAATCAAATAAGTTGCCCAACGGTACAAGGCAAGTGATGAAGGTAGAAATTGAACTTAGCTGGATCCAAAACCAGACCTCTTAACCTCTACACCATATGCTAACCACCTCACAGCTGTTACATAACTTCTGGGCACTGAAAGAACTTTACATTATGTTCTTGCAATGACGCAGCAACGACTCATAGGATTAAATGCCTGGCCCAAGAACAGAGAACCATTTAATGGTGGGCTGGAGCCAGAATCCAGGTTATCTCATGGCCAAAGGCAGTACTTGCTTCACTCCACTGAGCTGCAGTTCTTAGATTATGAGTTAAGATTTCTTTTGGGATAGCATGGCCTAGCACTTGGGAATTAGGTGGAGGCTGAGATGTTTCTGACTAGTCAGTTGGAGAGCATCTATTTCACGCATCCAAAATGTGCACCTGCAGTAGGCTCTTCCCTCTTCTTCTTGGGCTGTAGACTTCCTCCACTGGTCACTTCAAATGCAGTTCCATAACTATGGCCAATGACGTTATCCAGGTAGAACCACTGTTTTTCGAAAGTTACTTTTCTAGGGAAAAAAAGTAATCAATTAACTGAATATCTTTTCTATCCAGTACAGAAAAGACATGTTCACTACAGTTTATTTCAAAAGTGGTCTCCACAATGGATGATCAGCAGCATTATCTCTGAACATAAAGCAACAAAGGAACTAGAGAGAACCTGGTTGGGATAGAGACGTAAAATTAATGAATAAGCCACAAGAACACTGAATTTTGGAAAGGGGAAGCAAAGACTCATCGAAGTAACAAGGATTTAACAAATTTCTTGGGCTTGGTCTGATCGGCCATTTTATTTGAAAATTATCTAATAAAAGCAAATTATACTTGCAAATAAACACTGACAATCTACACACTTGGAAATGGAGCCTAACACTGACAATGCTCTACTGAGGACCAGGCAACTTGAGGTTTCCTATGACATAGATTTTTTATCTTATTGCAATTTAAAAGAGAAATCCCACAGGAACACAATGCTTTCTTCTCAAAAGAAAACTAACATCTGCTGAGTGCCAACCAGGGGCTAGGCAGTGTGTGCGAGGTGTGATTCACACTTTTTGATTTAATTCTCACGGTAATCCTGGGACATAGCTCTTTCCAGAAGAGCAATCCGAGGCCCAGGGAGAAGTATCTTGTCCAAGATTCACAGTTGCAAGGTGTTGTTGGAGCTGGGATTCAAATTCAAATCTGTGTCTGACCCCAAGCCTCATTCTTTCCACTATACCACACGGTCTACTCCAGCAAAGACCTAAGGACGGTAGAAAGCCCACCTAGCTTCAGGACATGGCCCATGTGCACAGAACACTGAATTCTGGGAATCATGTGGTGGTTAATTCTGATTGTGCCCCATCCCACTCCTTCTCTTCCTTTCTCTGTGCCACCAGGAAGCTGATTACGACAGAATATACTGCCACATCACCCACGCTCCCGTGTCAGAGGCTTACCACCATTGCTGGTCTCTGGGTGTGTCACCTTTATTGGTTCCCTAAATCGGCCACACTTTTGAGTCACATCTTCATTAAAGCTTACTCAAACCATCTGAGGGAAATCCTGTATGATCGTAAGTGATTCAGATATGGCCAATTCTTGTTATTTGCTGGGTCCCTAGATACTTACATACAACAGAATGTAACAGACACTCAAAATATTTGCTAATGTAAACCTCCTCAGATGTTGCAATTCAGCTCAGCCCAGATGTGCACCCCCTATCCTCATCCTTTAATCACCTAGGTGCTTTGAAACACTGGATCTGGCCAGGTGTGGTGGGTCACACTTGTAATCCCAGAACTGTGGGAGGCCAGGTGGGTCACTTGAGTCCAGGAGTTTGAGACCAGCCTGGCTGACGGGGAAAAACTCCGTCTCTACAAAAAATAAAAAAATTAGCCAGGTGTAGTGGCACACACCTGTAGTCCCAGCTACTTGGGAGGCTGAAGCAGGAGGGTCACTTGAATTCAGGAGTTTCTCTACAAAAAGTACACAAATTAGTTACTGAGGAGGCTGAGGTGGAAGATTGCTTGAGCCCAAGAGGCAGTGGTTGCAGTGAGCCAAGTTCACGCCACTACACTCTAGCCTGGGGGACCGAGTGAGATCCCGTCTCACAAAACAAACAAACAGACAAACCAAACAAAAACACTGGATCTGAGATGGGTGGGTTTACCTCTCTGAGAGCCTATGTGATATGCAGAGGGGATGATGCGTGTCACTTAAAACTGGCTGGTTTGACAGGTCACTGCCCCAGTCGGGAATGTGGGGCCCCGTTAGAGGGATAAGGAGGCCACATCTTTACTGGGAAGGAGTAGGATTTGCAGAGTCTACTTCTCAGAGAGCCTGGACTGTTTTTTGCCCAATCAGATGAGTGTAGCCCCAAGGGTGATGAGGGAGTCTGACCTGGGATGCAGCTGAGCTGAGAGAGTCATTTCCTAAATAAAATGGAAACTGCCACTATGACTTCTGCGAAGAAGAGGGCCTGTTGAAAAGTATTTCCAAATAAATGTTTAGGGCAGTGGTCTCCAACCCTTTTGGCACCACAAAAGGGGAAGGTCAACTACTGTTCATGCCTGTAATCCCAGCACTTTGGGAGGCTGAGGTGGCCGGAATTACTTGAGCCCAGGAATTGGAGACTAGCCTAGACAACATAGTGAAACTCTGTCTCTGCAAAAAAAATTAATTAGTTTAAAAAAGAAAAAAAAGAAGAATTTAAAAATGGTTAAAGGTTGGTGCAGGTATTACATTTCCGGACTAAAAGAAACATACCCCTCATAAAAGAAACTTTTTATCTTTACTAAATTAGTGCTTGTGCAAAAAGCTTGGTTATCACCAGCTTAGTGCTCTGGAGACTTGTTTCTTGACTATTTTATGATGCTTGCTTCACCTTAAATACCAGTCAACAGTTTGCTTAAACCAGGAGTAAAAGAATTCATCTGAAGTAAGTACTTATCAGAAATTCCAAATCTCATACTTCCCAGTCTGCAGAAAGCTGTTCTCCTGACATTGCATTCAACTTATCTCTGTCAAAAGTAATACAATAACCTAGCTCAAAAGAAACTGTGGCCAGGTGCGGTGGCTCACACCTGTAATCCCAGCACTTTGGGAGGCCGAGGCGGGTGGATCACCTGAGGTCAGGAGTTCGAGATCAGCCTGGCCAACATGGTGAAACCCCGTCTCTACTAAAAATACAAAAAAAAAAAAAAAAGATTAGCCGAGTGTGATGGTGCCAGAGTCCCAGCCACTAGGGAGGCTGAGGCAGGAGAATCGCTTGAACCTCGGAGGCAGAGGCTGCAATGAGCCGAGATTGCACTACTGCCCTAAAGCCTGGGTGACAAAGCAAGACTCCGTCTCAAAAACAAAAACACTGTGGTTGTATTTCTCAGATAAATTAATCCAAATATCCCAATAAATTTTCACCATTAATAAGCTCTTAGGACTTAACAACCTCACCAGCCCTTCCAGAAAGTTATCAAAATCCCACTTCTTTACTTCTATAAAACAGAGCGATACTAGCCAGCAGGTGCACAAACCAAACCTAATTTGGAGTTCTGAGGCCTTGAGCAAATTGCTTTTTAGCAATTTTCCCAGCGTTGAATCCTTTGGTGAGTAAAACGAGGGAAACTCAAAGTGATTCCACACTCTGTGGTGAATTGTCTCCTTCATCTATTCTGTGTATCCTGCTTGGGTAGAGAAGAGGATAGAAAGCCAGACTAGGTAGGAGACGTTTCATTTTTTGTGGGATAGATCCTGACTGGGGGATTAGGGAAGAAGGAGGATCTATGGTGGAAAAAAAGGGGGAACCTGAAGGAGACTCTGGAGACAAGGATGAGATCCTAAAGTGAAGAAAGGAGGGGGTGTCTCTGGAAAGACAGTGAAGATCCCAAGGTCCTAGGGAAAGAACTTCAGGACAGGTGATTAGGGTGTGGAGAGGGAGGCATTGGCACCCTAGGGCCAAGAATGGAATTCTGGGGAAGGAACTCTGTGGAAAGACTGAAAAGGATGCTGAAGGTGGACGGCCAGATATGAAATCATGGAGGGGGCTCCGGGAAAAACAGGAGGGTTAAGGGAGATTATGAGGTTCGAAGACGGGATCCTGGTGGAAAAGCCTTCTGTGACAGAAAGACCCGAGGAGACAACGAGGGCGGGGAATGGGGACCGAGAGAGCCAAGAATGGCACCCTGGCGGAAGAATTCTGTGGAGAAACCTGGAGGGAGGGGGTATCTACAAGGTGGGGGCGGGAGACCCCTAAAATCAGCGATCTGACTTACTTTCTCCGCTGGACTTGTACTGCTTTAAACACATCTTCACGTTTCAGCACCACGAAGTCGCCGTCGCGGATGCGGTGGTCTCCGGGATGCTGTGGTTGTGGGCCCGGCTGCTCCCCTGAGCCCTCCATGACGCTCAGCCGGTCGCCGTGCTCCACGGCGTCCCGCCCCTCCTCCTCGGTTGTCGCCACCGCCAGCCTCACTTCCCACAACCTGGCGCACTAGGAGCCCTCCGACCGGCACCGCCCCCACGTGTTGCACGCCGCTTCCGCTTTCCGGCCCAGACCTCAAGACCGCTTCCGGAAGCCTCTCGGCTTCCGTCTGGCCAAACTCCTTGATTGGCTGCACTCCGCCCCGCCCCTCTCGTCTTGCCGCTTCTTTGAGCGGAAGTTGGATCACTGAAGCGCCAAAAAAGAATTTAGGGGAAGACCTGATTTTCGCTTGAGGCATTTTTGCGGCGCTGTGCGCTACAGACACCTTCTGGAAGCTGCGGTGGGGAAACTGAGTTTCCCGAGCCGTTGAGACAGATGGGGTTCAGCACCGCGCGGGGACGACAGGAAAGCTGCGGCTGAAGAGAACTGCGGACTTGGCAGGAGTCGCCTGAGGAGCTAAGATCCCGGAGACTCTTAGCCCCGTGGTGCTTCTCTACGGGAGGGAGGGAGGGAGAATCCGGCCGGACAGATCTGCGCGTATCCTGGAGCCGGCCCAGTTGTGAACTAGGAGAGCTTTGGGACCTCTGTCCCAAGCAAGTAAGAACTTTAGCCTTAGGAGATGTAAATAAAGTAGTATTTGAAGAAGCACAGGTACCCAACTGTTTCTTTTTACTCTTTCTCCAGTCCTACTTCTTAACGTTTTTTTGAATTTGTTACTGTTCTCAGCATATTGTCTCGTTTGAGAAGGGTATGGCACGCAGCGTTGTTGAAGGAGCGCCTCAGCTTGGGAGGCTGAAAGTTTTATCTCTGTACTGTCGACAAACAACTTTGATCTTGATCGGTTTGCTTAATTTCTTTGAGCATCAGTTTCATAATGTGTAATGCCTAATTATTGGAGCCCTGTCATGCCGTTAAATCGTGAACTTTCTAGTTACTATCTTGTTTTATTAACTAAACCCCTTTTAAGTAAGGATTTGGGTAGAGTATTTGATAATGAATTGCACTGCAGCGTACAGGTATATCTTTATTTACTTGTATACTTAGGATATGAATCATTTTTAAGTAGACGTGTATTTTATAAGAACAGTTTTGGATTTACAGAAAAACTGCACAAAAAATGGATGTGACACTGCAGGATTGACTGTATGTAAGAAGCTATGATGATGTATCCCTAGTGTCTCACAGGCCAGAATTATGTTCATCCTGTCCTGCCCTATAATAAGAAGTCTCAAATACTGCAAATAAGTTTTCATAGAGTTAATTACCTGTCCTATTTTCATTTCTGTAATGGGGACTTGTAAACAGGTACAGTACCTGTCCTTATTTTTAACCTGTGAGCGTCTAGTATACGTAAACCATATTTAATAGTTATTAAACTATTATGGTATACCTTAAAAAGCGATAGAGATTAGAAACTTAACTGCAGAATATTTGGGTCTTGTATCATAGCTGTACAACTTTGCAAGCCTGTTTGCTACTCTTGAACCTAGAATACATTAATTTTTCCCTTTTTATTAATACATTTTTAAGAGCACTATTTTCCTTACAGTTTTGGTGAAGACCTTTTTAATATCTATCTTTTAGGAGAGATGAATGGAGAGTATAGAGGCAGAGGATTTGGACGAGGAAGATTTCAAAGCTGGAAAAGGGGAAGAGGTGGTGGGAACTTCTCAGGAAAATGGAGAGAAAGAGAACACAGACCTGATCTGAGTAAAACCACAGGAAAACGTACTTCTGGTAGGTGAGGTCAATGATTGTTCAATTTTTTTCACTTAAGGAAGCAATTCACGTCTATCATACAAGGCGGTTTATCTCATACTTCAGTTTGTCTTTTATTTCATGCTACTCCTTAGTAAGTATTTGAACATTGATGTCCCAGATTTTTACTAAAACCCCTAATTTGGATACTCTATTAATGAGAGTCTCATTTGGAAAGAGAAGCATATTGGAAAAATGTTCACTCTGTTTCTACTAACCTAGTATTTTATTTTTTTCAGAACAAACCCCACAGTTTTTGCTTTCAACAAAGACCCCACAGTCAATGCAGTCAACATTGGATCGATTCATACCATATAAAGGCTGGAAGCTTTATTTCTCTGAAGGTAGGGTTTAAAAAGTACAAAAAAGCACCATAAATCATATTTTCTTAACTTGTCTTTGGATGCTACATCTTGTATTACTGTAATTCATTTACTAACATATACCTGCTTTAATCTTAGTTCACCCAAACAATTAAATGATGTTTATGTTTCAAAAGCATTTTAGACTTTATATCAGTCAGGAAAGCAGAAACCATACTAGGTATTTCAAAAAGGGGACTTAATACAAGAAATTGGATACAAAAATGGAAGACTGAAAGAGCAGAAAGGAAATATTGAGGTAACTCCCCAGAAAGTAGTAATTCAGGAAGCAGCAACCATCCTTATGGCTAAGAGACTAAAAGAAGTTCTGAGGTTACCAGAATGTGGGAATTCAAAGGTTGGAGAGGTCACAGCATAGCTGTTATTTTGACTTTTGAGGGGCACCCTACAAAGCTATGCTTGGACTTCTGAAGGCTACCTTACAGAGCTGTGCTTAGACCACTAAGGCAAATGAAGCTGGTTGCCACTGGTAACTGAGGGGGCATGACTCAGTGGTGCTTGGAACTGGAGGCTAGCACTATCGTTATCTTCTGCAGCTGCAGAGATGCTGAAAAGAGTTGGAAACAAGAATAAATTCCTTTCTCTTCCTGCCACCTTCCCGTCTCTAAAGTGCCTTCAATTGGCAGAATTTAAAGAGAATCTGAGACATGTAGGGTACAGATCTGAATTATAGCATCGCAGAGCAGGAAGTAGAACAGTGGGCCTGAAATCAAGGGACAATAACAAATACAGCTTTGTGTAGAAACACAGGTAAGGAATCTCCCTTTGATAATTAGGAATACCAATTAACCTACATCAGTCTGTATAGGTGCAGGGAACTGTCTTTTTTGTGCTGTTAAAATACCCATTTGTTTCTTATGTCTCATGAGGGGTGTGTGTGTGTGTGTGTGTGTGTGTGTGTGTGCATACTTTTTATTTTTTTTTGAGATGGAGTCTTGCTCTGTTGCCCAGGCTGAAGTGCAGTGGCGCGATCTTGGCTCACTGCAAGCTCTGCCTCCCAGGTTCACGCCATTCTCCTGCCTCAGCCTCCCGAGTAGCTGGGACTACAGGCACCCGCCACCACGCCCGGCTAATTTTTTCTGTTTTTAGTAGAGACGGGGTTTCACCGTGTTAGCTAGGATGGTCTTGATCTCCTGACCTCGTTATCCGCCCGCCTCGGCCTCCCAAAGTGCTAGGATTCCAGACGTGAGCCACCGCACCCAGCCGCATACTTTTTTTTTTTAGGAAAACTAGACGTTTGAGGTCCAGGACCCTCCCTGCCCCATACCAGGCATGCAGTAGTCATTTTGTGAATGAATAGAGTACTTTACAAATGTTTTCTTTATTGGAAATCTGTTCGTTTTTTTCCATCAATAGAATCTGTTTCATGAATGATCTTTTGTTCCTTTAGGATGTATTAGCCACCAGCACTCCCATTGCTCCCCTAGCAGATAGCTCAGAACACTATAAGTGATCTTTGGACAGTCCTAAAGATGGAGTTCAAGAGGTGCCTTAGCCTTCACCATCTGTGCTTCCAAACTACTTTATTGTACTGTTCTTCTGTGAGAGACATATTTGAAAATGTAGAACTTTAGAGTGTTAAAAAAAAAAAGGCTTTTCAGTTTTGCCACCAGGGTCAAGTGTTGGTCTGTCTCCTGATCTCAGGAAAGACTGTGATTGTGATTGTCTTCAGCTCTGTCAGAGTAAGAGCTTAGTTTATGTGTCTGGCTTTGGCTTTATTATAATTTTTAGTTTAAGCTTATTGTCTAAATTATCTGAACTAACATGTCCTATTAGGTGTCAAAGATGCAAAACAAAGTTTCCCAGATAGTGGGGCTTTTAGAGAGAGAGAGTTTCTGTCTGCATTTCACATTATGCAAACCTAAATTTGTTTTAGAATCTTAAGTTTACATTCTATACTAGTTCTTATATGAATGTAATCAAAATACAAAGCAATTAGAAAAAAATCATCTACCATGTATATAGTGCTGCTTTTGTCTCATGAAAAATGTGCATGTACCTGTGTGATTATTTGTGCTAATGCCATATTTGTTGGATTAGTTTACAGCGATAGCTCTCCTTTGATTGAGAAGATTCAAGCATTTGAAAAATTTTTCACAAGGCATATTGATTTGTATGACAAGGTAAGATTCCTCTACAGCAAAGCTACCAGTCATGTGCCATCTTACCAATGTATTCGAGGTACTTGTGATTATGATCGTAGGCACTGGAGTCAGACTTCCTTGGTTCAGACCTCAGTTCTGCCACTTACCTGCAGTATGGACTTTGATTAATTACTTCTCTGTGCCTCAGTTTTCTTTCATTTGGAGATAGAGGTATAAATACCTACCTCAAAGGATTGTTAAGAGGCAGTAATACATTAATATATTTAAAATATCAGAACCATGCTTGGCACAAAGCTTATACTTATGTCATACTTACCATTATCACATATAAACATTGTATGCTTTCTCAAAGTCTATAATAGAATGCTCAGTTAATGGTAATTGACTACAGAAAAGCAATTATTGTTTTCATACTTTTATATTTTATAGGATGAAATAGAAAGAAAGGGAAGTATTTTGGTAGATTTTAAAGAACTGACAGAAGGTGGTGAAGTAACTAACTTGATACCAGATATAGCAACTGAACTAAGAGATGCACCTGAGAAAACCTTGGCTTGCATGGGTTTGGCAATACATCAGGTAACTATTTGTCTTATGCATACTTTTGTCTAAACTTTTTTAATGTTTGCACACACATGCACACCTTGTCTAAGTTTAAAGGAAGATTTTACAGTGACTGTACTTTCTATAAGAGATACTTAGCTTTTACGAAAAGATGTTGGCTAGAACTGAGAGGTTGCAGTTCCGTTCTGAAAGATACCATTCATTCTATATACAACAGCTTATCTAAATGAAATATTTACCTCCAACTTATTTGGATTTGCTTAATCTTGCTAAAGATTGTGCAGAAATTAAACTTTGCTTTCAAGAAGTTATACAATCTCATAGGGAAGATAAAACAAGGAATCATGGTGTTATCGGTTATGAACTTAGAGCAAAAAAGAGCAACCTTAGATTTAGGTTCTGTGGCATGAAGCAAACCACTGAGTGTCCCTGTATATCAAATGTAAATAACAGTTTGTACTGTGCTTGCCTGAGTTTTTTTTCAGGGTCAGGTAATACAACATATATGAAAACATTTTTAACTTTTTAAATTTTTTAAATTTATTTTTTATTTATTTTTTTGAGATGGAGTTTCACTTTGTTGCCAGGCTGGAGTGCAGTGTCATGATCTCCGCTCACTGCAACCTCTGCCTCCCGGGTTCAAGTGATTCTCTTGCCTCAGCCTCCCGAGTGGCTGGGTGCACCACCATGCCCAGCTAAGTTTTGGAGTTTTAGTAGAGACGGGGTTTCACGATGTTGGCCAGGATGGTCTTGATCTCTTGATCTTGTGATCCGCCTGCCTTGGCTTCCTAAAGTGCTAGGATTACAGGCATGAGCCACCTTGCCCGGCCAAAAACATTTTTTAGGCTAGCAAACAGATACATGCTTCAAGGTAATGAATAGCAAATCTCAGGACAGGCATACACAAAGTGCTGGGGCATTCAGAGGGGCATTCTTCTACCTCTTGCCTGTGCTGTCCATTCAACATAGAATCCCCTTCCCTTCACATGGACAGATTATTTGGGCCTAGCTCAGTTGTCTGTCTGTAAAACCTTTCTCATGACCACTTTTCGAAACTTGCATGGTATTTTGTCTGTACATCTTTATGGTCCTTATGACAATTACAGCTGTATATATGCATCTTATTTTGCCTCTTAGGTTGCCAGCAAACTGCTGTGTACAAGTGGTATTAAATGTTTGTTTGTTGTTTATTTATTTATTTATTTTGAAATGGAGTTTTGCTCTTGTTGCCCAGGCTGGAGTGCAATGGTGTGATCTTGCCTCATTGCAGCCTCAGCCTCCCAAGTAGCTGGGATTATAGGCATGCACTGCCACACTTGGCTAATTTTTGTATTTTTAGTAGAGATGGGGTTTCACCATGTTGGTCGGGCTGGTCTCAAACTCCTGACCTCAGGGGATCCACCCACTTTGGCCTCCCAAAGTGCTGGGATAACAGGTGTGAGCCACTGCGCCCAGCGTGTTTATATTATTTAATGTTAAATGCCAAGGGAGTGAGTATTAGGTATTTTAAAGGTCATTTTTATTTTCTGTGTCTTGATTGGTCAGTGAATATAGAGAAATAGGAATGCATTTTTTTTTTTTTAATTAGTATCAAGAGGTGATGGTTTTGGGGACTAATGTAAGGGCTTTTAATGTTAGGTTTAGTTGGGACAGAAAGTAGCAGACTGGGATGCTGGAGTTTTTCAGCACAGGGACAGCAAAATCCAATGTAAAACATCCACTATAAAGTAAGTAGTCATAATTAAATATTAGATATTTAAAGGGCTGTTAAAGTTTTCTGTTTTTATTCTGTTTCTGTCCATAAACTTTATATTCTCTATAAAAATAGAGTTCTGTATAAAGAGGATGTTTTGTTTTCCAACTTCAGAGTAAATGTCTGTCCTGTTTAGGTGTTAACTAAGGACCTTGAAAGGCATGCAGCTGAGTTACAAGCCCAGGAAGGATTGTCTAATGATGGAGAAACAATGGTAAATGTGCCACATATTCATGCAAGGTGAGGAATTTGATGTATTAAAGTATTACTTAGAATGGGACATTGAAGGCCATTTAAGAATGAAAACGCTCATTTTATAAAAATGAGGAAATCAGTAAAAAGGACATGAGTTCCTTGCCATCTCATTGATCATCACACTGAAATAAACTCATTGAAAATTATTCAAAGACATCATGACAGATACTTCCTAAATAAGGAAGAAAATGTTGATTTCCTAACCTGCAGATTTTTGTAAACATTGGTTTTGGATGTGAACTTATCAAGACCCTGCTGTGTAAGTTTAATAATCCATGTATGGGTTGAGTATCCCTAATCTGAAAATCTGAAATCTGAAATGCTCCAAAATTCAAAACTTTGAGCCCTGACACGACACTGAAAGGAAATGTTCATTGGAGCACTTCAGATTTTTGAATTAGAGATACTCAACTAGTAATATTGCAAATATTTGGAAGTCCAAAAATTCCAAAATACTTCTGGTCCCAGGCATTTTGGATAAGGGATATACTCAGTCTGTAATACACTAAGTGTTCTTTGTTAAATTATTAGGTTTTTGTTAGATACAAGGGAATAATGAAATTATTTTGTTTTTCTTGAATTCATCTTTAAGATTTTAAATTCATTAGAAGAATTCATTATAAGGTAATCATCAGCATTTTGTTTTTCTTTTCCAGAATTTATAGAAGAAAATTTCCTAGCAGTTCTTTAAAAAGAACTTAGAAACCCAAAGGTTTTTGAATCTGTAGATTTTCCTTTTGGCATTATTTTTTTCCTTAAATTTCTTTTTTCTTTTTTCCTTGAGAACAGCCTGTGAGACAAGAAGAAAAAGGAAGATTTAGTGTTGTTTCTTGTTAAGAATGGTTTGGCTGGGCACGGTGGCTCATGCCTGTAATCCCAGCACTGGGAGTCCGAGGCAGGCGGATCACGAGGTCAAGCGATCGAGACCATCCTGGCCAACATGGTGAAACCCTGTCTCTACTAAAAATACAAAAATTAGCTGGGTGTGGTGGCACACACCTGTAGTCCCAGCTACTCGGGAGACTGAGGCAGGAGAATCACTTGAACCCGGGAGGCAGTGGTTGCAGTGAGCCAAGATGGCACCCCTGCACTCCAGCCTGGCAACAGAGCGAGACTCCATCTCAAGAAAACAAAACACAACAAGAATGGTTTAATTCTTGTGATATTTCTGATATATCGAAGGGATGATTTGATTTGAGAATTCCATAGTTGCTCCTAAAAGGAACTTGTGAAAATATAAAAAACATCAATTTTCTGTTCATTACTTCCTGTTTTGTCTTTAGGGTGTACAACTATGAGCCTTTGACACAGCTCAAGAATGTCAGAGCAAATTACTATGGAAAATACATTGCTCTAAGAGGGACAGTGGTTCGTGTCAGTAATATAAAGCCTCTTTGCACCAAGATGGCTTTTCTTTGTGCTGCATGTGGAGAAATTCAGAGCTTTCCTCTTCCAGATGGAAAATACAGTCTTCCCACAAAGGTAATACGTTCTTTAACTGCTTCTTTATTTATCTTGGTAAAGAAGGCAAATCAGAATACAGAAAACATTTCCCAGTGTTTCTGAACACAGAGCTTATTTTTATTTTTTATTTTCAATTTTCTGCTTTTATATTATGAAATACTTCAGGGTAAGAAAAATACAGAAATAAATAAAACATTCCACTACTCATCACCCCGAATTTACATTTTTCAGCTCCGGACACATTTTTTAATGATATAAAGCATTACTGGCACAATTAGTGTCTGTTTTTTACCTATACCATTCCCAGGGATGATCATTATCCTGAAGTTATTATAATATGCATCCCTTCCATTCATATTTCTGTTGACTTCTAGGTATACACACCAAGTTTTTTTTCCCCTTTATTTCTTCTACTATTTAGAAGTGATGGGTTTTTTAAATCTTTATTAGCCTTTATTAAACTGGATTTTAAAACTATAGAAAAGTGCAGAGAATAATGTAATTAACATTTATCTACTCTATGATTTGGCAAATATTAATATTATTTTAGCTTAATTTGTAACAAAAATATGGTTATATAAAGTTGAAGTCTTTCTGTTCTCAGTTTTATTCCCTTTATTTGCTCCCTAGATGCAACCACTATGCTGAAATTGGCATGTATTCTTCAAGTTTACATTTTTATTCTTGACTACATGTGTAGAGTTAGTTTTTTGTATTGTGTTTACGTAAATGGTATCCTGAATGTAACACGCAGCTGTTTTTTTATTTGGTTATTTTGTAGTTCTACCTATTTTAATACATATCAAATTCTTTCATTTTTACTATTGTGGAGTGTTGCTTTAAATAAATAGCCACAATTTATCCATTTTCCTGGAGGTAGACAATTGTGCTCTTTCCAGTTTTTTATAAGAACAAATGATACTGCAGAGAACATTCTTGTACATGTCTCCTTAGCAGAGGAATACTAAGTTGTAGGCTGTACTTTTTTTTTTTTTTTTTTTTTTTTTTGAGACGGAGTCTCGCTCTGTTGCCCGGGCTGGAGTGCAGTGGCGCGATCTTGGCTCACCGCAACCTCCGCCTCCTGGGTTCAAGCAGTTCTCCTGCCTCAGCCTCTCGAGTAGCTGGGACTACAGGCACGCGCCACCATGCCTGGCTAATTTTTGTATTTTTGGTAGAGACAAGGTTTCACTATGTTGGCCAGGCTGTTCTCAAACTCCTGACCTGGTGATCCGCCTGCCTCAGCCTCCCAGAGTGCTGGGATTGGCCGGCTGTACTTATTTTTAACTGTATTAGATGTTACCAAATTACTTTCCAGAGTATTGTTCCCAACTTAAATCTTTGCTGGTAGTGTTAAGTAGTTACCATTTCTCTGTCTTTTCATTAACACTTGGTATTGTTAGACTTGTACATTTTTGACAGTTTGTTAGGTATAAATAATACTGCATTTATAATGTGAATTTTTCTGATTTCTGTTGTGGTTGAGCATCTTTTCATATCTTTACTGGCCATTCAGTTTCTTTATCGAATTTTCTATTTATATCTAATGTTCATTTTCCTGTTTATTGGTTTATTCTTTAATTTTGTTTTTTAGAGATGGGGTCTCATTCTGTTGCCCAGGCTGGAGTGTAGTGACATGATCATAGCTCATTACAACCTTGAACTCCTGGGCTCAGGTGATCTTCCCATCTCAGCTTCCCACGTAGTTGGGACTACAGGTGCCAGCCACTGTGCCTGGTTCTATTAGTTTATTGATAGGAGTTCTTTATACATTCTAGATACTAATTATTGTTGATTATATACATTAGATATTTTCTCCCAGTCTTTGGTTTGTCTTTTAACTTTGTGGGTTTTTTTGTTGTACAGTTTTACATTTTGACATGATCAAATTGTTGTCTTTTCCTCCCTAATTTGTATATTTTATGCCCTGCTTAAGAAGCCGTTCTTCGGCTGGGCTTGGTGGCTCATGCCTGTAATCTCAGCACTTTGGGAGGCCGAGGCGGGCAGATCACCTGAGGTCAGGAGTTGAAGACCAGCCTGACCAACAGGGAGAGACCCCATCTCTACTAAAAATTCTAAATTAGCCAGACGTGGTGGCACATGCCTGTAATCCAAGCTACTCGGGAGGCTGAGGCCGGAGAATCGCTTGAACCCAAGAGGCAGAGGTTGCAGTGAGCCGAGATCACGCCATTGCACTCCAGCTTGGGCAGTAAGAGCGAAACTCCGCCTCAAAAAATACATAAATAAATAAGAAGCCCTTTTCACTCAAGCATTATAAACATATTTCCTACATTGCTTCTAAGAATCCTAAGTTTTGTTTTTTATCTTTAGATCTTTTGTCCATCTGGAATTTAAGCCATTGGTGAAGGGCATAAAACTAGGGATTTAAGCTGGGCATGGTGGCATATGCCTGTAGTCCCAACTACTCAGTAGTCTGAGGCAGGAGGATCGCTTGAGCCCTGGAGTTTGAGACTAGCCTGGGCAGCATAGTGAGACCCCCATCTCTTAAAAAAACAAACTAGTGATCTAATTTTTAGGTGAAAAGCTATTTATCCTGACACCATTTATTAATTAAGCCCTTGTTACCATGGATGTATAATGTTTCCTCGGTGGTACCCAGAGTCATCGTTATCACCATTGGGCTTTACTAAATTTAACATTTGCTAAATTTTTGCTCATGTGAAGGGTTGAATCCTTAGTGAGGTAAATAGTCCCTTGAAGAATTAAAAAGGGAAACATAAGATGTTTATGTTTGAAATTCCTAAGGCTTCTTTCTCTGACTGGAAGAAGAGGGTATGTGAGATTCAGCTATTGGTTCTGAATAATCAGTGGTGTTGATAGATGGGTTTCATCTGGTGTTTGTCTTGGCTTAAGGTTCAAGGTATAACCTTTAGCTTAGAGGCCAGAATTTAAATCCTGATTTAAACCAGATATTTTCTTCCTTTTATTTTGAAGACGGGGTCTCACTCTGTCACCCAGGCTGGAGTGCAGGGGCATGAATACAGCTCACTGCAGCCTTGACCTCCTTAAATCAGATATTTTCTAGACAGTATTTGTTCAGGGTATTTTCATGCCCCCTAATAAATTAGGTAGTAGCATTGACTCATGTGTGATGTCGTGAAGAGGTCCTCCATTTGTCTGAACTGTGGGGCTTTGAAGTGACAGAAAGATGGCTGTTTCAGTTGATCTCTATTCCCGCCACTATTGTTGCGTAACACATCACTCCAAAACTCAGTGGCCGAAAATAAAGCCAATCATTTTATTAGTTCTCATGATATCTGTGGATCAGGAGTTTGGAAGAACTACTCAACTGGCTAGTTCTGGCTCCAGGCCTCTCATGGAGTTGTAGTCAGATGGTGGCTGGAGTACAGCAAGGTGGCTGGGGGCTGGCCAGGCATCTTCTTCTCCATGTGGCTGTGTGGGCTAGTTTGGGCTTCTTGCACACAGTATAGCAGCTCAGGCACTCAGTCTGCTTATATGGCTGCTGACAGGTTCAGGTCAAGAAGTGCAGTTGGTAGGCAGAAATGGCCTTGCCTTTTGTGAGCTAGTCTCAGAAGTCGTGCAACATCACTGTGTCACATTCTGTTGGTAACAAAGTGAGTCCCAGGCCTTCTCAAATTCCAGGAGAAGGAATTAGCCTTCATTTCTTTTTTTTTTTTTTTTTTTTTTTTTTTTTTTTTGAGACGGAGTCTCGCTCTGTCGCCCAGGCCGGACTGCGGACTGCAGTGGCGCAATCTCGGCTCACTGCAAGCTCCGCTTCCCGGGTTCACGCCATTCTCCTGCCTCAGCCTCCCGAGTAGCTGGGACTACAGGCGCCCGCCACCGCGCCCGGCTAATTTTTTGTATTTTTAGTAGAGACGGGGTTTCACCTTGTTAGCCAGGATGGTCTCGATCTCCCGACCTCATGATCCACCCGCCTCGGCCTCCCAAAGTGCTGGGATTACAGGCGTGAGCCACCGCGCCCGGCCTTCATTTCTTAATGGAGGAGTAGCAAGGTTCTAAAAAGTCTTGAAGATAAATATTGTTGCAATCATATTTGGCAAATACAGTCTGCCACAGTCTGAATTTATAAATGCTTCTTGAGATCCAAACACCAAACAAGTGCCTGTGTGGCATAATAAGTATTACACTCTACAGAAAGTGCAAAAGGAGCCTAGATGAGAAAGCTGGGGATTAAAGAAAACTCTGGAAAGCCTTTTGAAAAGGAGAGGATTGGCATTGGGCATGTGGGACAGAATGAGAGGGTTGTTGAAGGAGCGAGAGGTGGCATGGGCACAGAGGAAGCAATAAGTGCTTCATGTGGGAGGCAAGCAAAGCACCTTGCATACCCATAGCAGGATACGAACAGTAAGTGAGAAGGATCAATTGGAAAGTGCCTCAAAAGCTGTCGATATTAAATTGTTGCAGGAGGAAATAGAAAGTCATTAATCTCTCAGTGGATTTTACTTTACTAGCATCCTGAGACCAACTTTTAAAACAATATTAAATGAAATGTTTTAACTGAATTTTCCTGAGGTGTGATTATAGTTTATCAAAATCTGAATGTGAATTACTTTTGTTTCATTCAGTGTCCTGTGCCTGTGTGTCGAGGCAGGTCATTTACTGCTCTCCGCAGCTCTCCTCTCACAGTTACGATGGACTGGCAGTCAATCAAGTAAGCGATCAGACTGTTACATAAAAGGCAGGCTTTAGATGTCACACTGTTGAGAAAATCCATAATTTTACTGTATTATATTGTACGTTTTATCTAAATGACAAAGTGTATAATAGTGTATAATAGATGGTTTATTTGATGAAGAGTTTGTATGTTAAAATAATTCTTTTTTTTTTTTTTTTTTTTTGAGACGGAGTCTTGCTCTGTCACCCAGGCTGCAGTGCAGTGGCGCGATCTTGGCTCACTGCAAGCTCTCCCTCTGGGTTCATGCCACTCTCCTGCCTCAGCCTCCTGAGTAGCTGGGACTACAGGCGCCCACCACAATGCCTGGCTAATTTTTTTGTATTTTTAGTAGAGGTTTAGTTTAGAGGTTTCACCGTGTTAGCCAGGATGGTCTTGATTTCCTGACCTCGTGATCTGCCCGCCTCAGCCTCCCAAAGTGCTGGGATTACAGGCGTGAGCCACCGCTCCTAGCCTAATTGTCTTTATTTGAAATTTATTCTCTGTCAGATTCCAGAAAGGATTCATTATGCAAATATTGTGTCCTAATGAGAAATAGTTGATTTTATATCTCAATTATGTGATTAATTGAACTGGATATAGGCCATAAGCAAAGCTGTGTGCTTCATTCCATATTGAGCTGTGATAGAAATAATATTGTTTTGAAGTTTTCAAATAAAGACTCCCTTTGAAATGGCATGTTTCATTTTATGTTCTCAATGTTGCAATGGGGCATTTTACTATAGGGTTTTTTAATAGCTTTTTTTTTTTTTTTTTGCAAGTCAGAGTTTTCTTTGTGTATGTGTTTTTCATCCCATAATTGATTACATTTTTTCTAGCTGTAGATCTATAGCTCATCCCTAAATATAAAATAATGAATGGTTTTGAAGTCAGTGCTCTCTAGCAAACCTGGCTGAAATGAGATGGTCCTAAGAACTAAGAACCTAGGGAAAAGATAAGATGATCTGCTGCTAACTGCTTCACCCCCTTCTTCCCTGAAAAATTAAGACCAACATATATAATAATTAATTGTACTATAGTGAGATCTTTACAAACACCCCATTTTATAAAAGAGGAAATGGTTAAGACTCTTGAGTATGATCGTGTGGCCTATGAGTATGGTAGAGCCTGATTTCCAACCTAGTCTGTGGGACTTTTACCACTTAAGAGGGACAAAGGGTTAGTCTGGAGGTAGTAAGTTATTTCAGTTGATTATTCACAGTCACTTACAGATCAAACTTCTTGTTCTACTCTTTCCTCCCTTCTCACTACTGCACTTGACTCATCTTAAAAAAGTGGGTGTGGGGGGTGAATTGATTGTGAAGTGGTGAGTGATCTTGGAGCAAGGTTTGAAGTCGTGCAGGTTAGGTGGATGCCAGCGCCTGGCCCATGACCTGAAAAACATTGAGAGGTAGTCTAGATGTATGATGAATGTATTCCAAAGTTATTATTTTAATGTTCAATGATTGTACTTACATTAATTAAGTAAAAAAAGCTTTAATAACATGTGCATGTTTTTAAAAATTCAATCAGTGTGGAAAGGCACAGTCCCCACAACTTGCTGTTACATTATACATAACTTTAGATACCATTCTTGTGTCTTTCATCCTTCGCTTTACTGCAGTCATTCTATGTGAGCTGAGGACATTAGAAACATACTTGTTCTTTTATCTTCTAGACTTTCTCCGTTCCGACATTACTTTAAATTGTCAAGGTTTACCTTTTGTCTTCTAATTATAATTGTCTTCCAGAGTTTATTTATAGGTCATGTCTAACAAAAACAATAAACAGGCATTTACATTTTTATGTTAATAAAAATGCCCGATATGGCATTCCCCGGGATAAATAATATGAGCTTCTGACTTCTCCCTCCATCTTTTCTACTCCTACTTGCGTCTTCAGTGGTCGAAGCCAGTGCTGGAACTGGCTGGACAGTTTATCCCCCCTTAGCAAAAAACCTAGCACATGCACAAGCCTCTGTGGATCTGACCATCTTCACGTTCCACTGTCTCTTCCATTTTAGGGGCCATTAACTTTATTACCAGAATAATTAACATAAAACCTCCAGCTTTGTCCCAATATCAAACACCCCTTTTCGTCTGGTAAGTCCTTATTATGGCGGTCCTTCTACTCCTTTCCCTTCCCATTTTATTAACATAAAAATGTAAATATAGCTCAACAAAGAACCAAATGAATGATCAAATGCCAAGCAAAGGAGCTGTAATTTATGTCACTGGGTTTTGTTTTGTTGGTTTTTACCCCTTAAATGAAAATGACTCAAGCATCAAATTATCTTTTCTTATACTCTGCTAGTTATTTGGAATTATCCCACATTTTAGTGTGCATCATATTTGGACTGTAACTTTGTCATTTAGTACTTTATTTTTCCTAAGGTTTCTAAGTGCTGGTTTTACTTCTTAGAGTATGCCTGTACCATTTCACCATAATTTTCCATTCTCTCTTCAATATACTATGGAATACATGGAATCCACCTTTTATTCTTAAAAAACAAAAACAAAAAAACACACCTTCCTTCTGCTTGAGTCTGGATCAGTAGTTCTCCAGACCTGCATTCCTGCTTCATCCTGGGATCTTGCTTCATTGCATTTTTTCTAAGGAATATTCCCAAGTAAATTTTCAGAAAGTATACAGGACAGGTAAAAAGTTCTAAGCCCTTGCATGTCTGAAAATGTCTTTATTTGGATCTTAGTCTGGCTAAGAGTTTGCTAGCTATTGAAGTCTATTTGGTTTTAATTTTCTCTGCTGTTTATGAGAGGTCTGGTGCTCATCTGATTCTCATTCCTTTGAGGACTGGACTTTTCCTCCTCTTTGTAACCATTTTATCTATCATGCTGTGAAACAGTGAAAGTGTATCTAGTTGTCTCTATCCTGCTTGATTGGCAGGATCTTTTGTCTTCAACTCTAGAATATCTGACTGATTTCTCAGCTTCCTATCAGATGCATTGCTTGGATTATTTGTTTTAAGTTTTTCCTCATTCTTTCATTTTCTTTGTTCTGTTTTCTAGATTTCTTTGGCTTTTTCTTATATCTTCTCTATAAATGCTTGATTTTTATATACATGCTTTAAATTTTCTTGATTTTGTACTTGTTTCCCCATTGTTCCCTTTTTGTAGTGGCTTATTCCTGTTTTATCATGGCAATATTTTCTCAAAACTCTTAGGCAGTTTGTTTTTAATACTCCCTGAATTATTGCCATTTAATTTTCAAATGTCTGATGAGGAATGAGAAAGTATTTGAAGTAGGTAGGATAGGTTTCCTTTGCAATTTTTTAGGTAGTAGTTTTTTCTCACAAGACTTTACCTCTAAATACAAAGATAGGGGTTTGGGCTATCAGATTTTGCTTTATGAATGTGTTTTTGAATTGGAATTGGGTTTCTCAGATGGTAGAATGAAGAGTCTTTATTCTGAAGCTCTGATATTCTCACTGCACAGTTTAGCTCCCTTCACAGAGGGGATGGGTTTGTTTCCTTAGAACAGTGCTCTGGTTTTTGCCAGATGATAAAGTACGCATTCTTCCCCTACCCACCTGTCCACTCACCTTCTCCAAAAATTCTCAACAGCTATTCCATGACTTGTCTTTCGGTTGATTACTGTTTTCTTCCAGCCATCTACTCCTGCTCTCTATTCCTGCCACATCCAACTTGGAAGCTTCTCTGGGGCTCTGCTAAGAACGTTGGGTCCCACTTTGCTTGTACGCTTATAGCTTTTGCCCATGTGTATTCTGGACTTTATTTTGTTTTATCCATCAATACTTTACCATTTGCTGGTTTCAAAAATTTCATTAATATCTCATTTGCTGATGATACCTCTACATACCCCCAAATTTTTAGTGACTCATTTTGGTGGACATTTTGGAGGGAGGCTAGGCAAATACATATGTTCATTTGGCTATCTTGAATTGGAAACTGCTGAAGTAATTTTAGATATACCATTAAACTGTTAATAAGCAAATCTGCTTTTATCTTCCTCAGCATCATGTGAACCCTGAATAGTTAATATCTTGCAGAAACCATCCAAAGTAAGTATTCTAACTGAAAACTATTTAAACTTTTTAGAATCCAGGAATTGATGTCTGATGATCAGAGAGAAGCAGGTCGGATTCCACGAACAATAGAATGTGAGCTTGTTCATGATCTTGTGGATAGCTGTGTCCCGGGAGACACAGTGACTATTACTGGAATTGTCAAAGTCTCAAATGCGGAAGAAGGTAGGGTACAACTCTTTTCATTATTTGTCTCTCAATAATGATTCATCAACGTTCATCTTTTCTAAGATGCTCCTGAACCTCAAATAATTTGAGGAATTTCTTGTTGCTTACATAAGATGAAACATTCCCTTTTAAAAAAACATGTATTTGTAGCTCCCTATGACTTTGTTTTATATTCTAGTTGAGTCATTGTAGGGAAAATGAAAATACCAACTATTGTATTTAACACTTTTAATTTACAGGTTCTCGAAATAAGAATGACAAGTGTATGTTCCTTTTGTATATTGAAGCAAATTCTATTAGTAATAGCAAAGGACAGAAAACAAAGAGTTCTGAGGATGGGTGTAAGCATGGAATGTTGATGGAGTTCTCACTTAAAGACCTTTATGCCATCCAAGAGATTCAAGCTGAAGAAAACCTGTTTAAACTCATTGTCAAGTATGTATGCTGTCATTTGAAATTTTATTACATAGATGCATGTTGGGGGTTCTCTTGGCTACAGGTAACAAAAAACTAGTCAAAATGGTCGGCAAACTACAGTCCATGTACCAAATACAGTACTCCATCCCCTTGAGTATGGCCTATGAACTAAGAATGGTTTTTATATTTTTTAATGGTTGAAATAAATTAAAAGAATATTTCACAACACATGAACTTATATGAAATTCAGATTTCAACTGGATATGGTGGCTCACGCCTGTAATCCCAGCACTTTGGGAGGCCGAGGCAGGCGGATCACTTGAGGTCGGGAGTTCGAGACCAGCCTGGCCAACATGGTGAAACCCTGTCTCTACTAAAAATACAAAAATTGGCCGGGCTTGGTGGCGGGCGCCTGTAATCCTAGCTACTCGGGAGGCTGAAGTGAAGAATCACTTGAACCCGGGAGATGGAGATTGCAGTGAGCCAAGATCGTGCCATTGCACTCCAGCCTGGGCAACAAGAGTGAAACTCTGTCTTTAAAAAAAAAAAAATTCTGATTTCAGTGTCCATAAATAAAGTTCTATTGGAACATAGCCACACTCATTCATTTACATAAGTGTGCTGCTTTTGTGCTACAGTGGCAGAGTTGAATAGTTGTGACAGAGAACATATATATGGCTCACATATTTTTGCTTTATCCTTTTATAGAAAAAATTTGCTGATCTCTAGTTTAAACAATACAGAATATTTACTATCTTATACAAGAAGTTTGTCACTCAACGGAAGAGTGAGGGAACAGTGAATTCCAAAGCCATTTCAATTAGTTCTGTGTAGGGTGTTGCTCATAGAGATTCAAATCGAATTAACATATATTCAAAAAGTATTTGATAATTTTATTTCCATGCTATTGCCATGCCGTGGAGAAGCAGCAAAGTATAGGCATTTTTTGCTTTAGTGGTTAAGAGCTTTTCTTTGGAGACAAACCTAAGTTAGACTCCTGCTTTGGGCATTTACTTCCAGTGTGATCTGGGACATATTACTTAATTTCCCCTTTATTTGTATCACCTTAAAATGGAAATAATAAGACTTACCTCAGAAGGTTGTTCTAAAGATTAAGTGGGATTTTATAATGTACTTAACATAACTACTGCAACATACTGTTACTTTTGATAATTTTTTGACAACTGTGGGGTAATTTTGAAGAAATAGGAGAAAATGAGAGAGACTGAATAATAGATATATCTAAGAGAGGTAAAGAACTGAGAACGTTTTGAAATGCATTGTATTATAAAAAGTGATCTTGGCCAGGCACAGTGGCTCAAGCCCGTAATCCCAGCACTTTGGGAGGCCGAGGCGGGTGGATCACCTGAGGTCAGGAGTTCGAGACCAACCGGACCAATATGGTGAAACCCTGTCTCTACTAAAAATAGAAAAATTAGCTGGGCATGATGGCAGGTGCCTGTAATCCTAGCTTCCTGGGTGGCTGAGACAGGAGAATCTCTTGAACCTGGGAGGCGGAGGTTGCAGTGATCTGAAATCGCGCCACTGCACTCCAGCCTGAGCAACAGAGCAAGACTCTGTCTCACAAAAAAAAAAAAAAAAAGTGATTTTGTCATGCTTTTCTGTTCAGTAGGCTCAGGTCTGTAAGAGGATTTGATGCTTTTTCTTTCTGGCTTTAATATGTTAATTAGCTGACTGAGTAAAGAATAGTGCTCCACAGGGGTTTTTTGTCCTTAAATCCTACTTCCCTCTGAATAAAAGCCATTCAGACCCACCCTGGAAGAGAGGCTGCTCTAACTTAGCGTTGCTGGGGTGGTCTTGGAGTGAGTCCTTTGAGCAGGTGGCCAAGGAAGCAACCTGGTCGACAATCCAAACATCTTTGGTTCCTCTTAACAGTTGTAAATTAAAACTGAACATTTTTAGTGGTCCCTCTTCTCCCATACTTATAGAAGAGTAAGTATGGAAAACTTTAGTTTTCTTCCCACAGTTTGCTTTTTCCCCCTCCATGTTTGTGATTTCAGCATCAAAACTAGAATTTTTCATGGTCCTCTATTATCAGTCTAGCAGAGATTGGCAAACTAGGCAGGCTGCCTGTTTTTGTAAGTCAAATTTTATTAAAACACAGCCCCACCCAGTTTACTTACATTACTGTTCACAGTTGCTTGCACACTACAAGTTGAATAGTTGTGACTGAGACAGTATAGCCTGTGAAGCTGAAAATACTTTCTGGCCCTTTAAGAAAAAGTTTGTCAACCCAGCCTAGGTGACAGTAGAAGTTTATGTTTTAGTTTAGGTTCCTTCAGAAGCAATGATTTGGATCAACATAGTTTACTTGGGAGGTGATTCTGGAGTTACTGGTAGGGAAATGATGGCAGCCAGTGTAGGTGCCTTAACGAACAGGTGACCCACTAGCATCTGGGACATAATCCTCCTGGGCCAGTGGAAAACTCCACTGTGGAAAGCCAGCTTCAGTATTTTTCCATTTAAGGGCCTACATTTGGGACTGCCCCCAGGAGTATTAAACACCTCAGCACTTCTGGCCTGCCCATCCTGCCTGCCAATGATGCTTGTGTGGCCATAGAAAGGTCTTTGGCAGACAGGTGCAGATGCCAGTAGGAAGCCGGAACATACTGAACAGTGAGTGCCAAGGGGATATGAGCACACCACCACCTCCTTCTGTGTTTACATATATTAAAAGGGAATAAAGACTCATGTTTTACTCCTGATTTTCTCTCCCACCCTATTTTTGTTTGTTCCTTGTTTATAAAATTGACAAATGTAAATGTACTGTTTTATATTCTTTCTCTTAATTTTTTTTAGAGACAGGGTCTTGCTGTGTTGCCCAGGCTGGATTGCCGTGGCACAATCAGAGCTCACTGTAGCTTCAAACTCCTGGCCTTAAGTTATTCTCCCACCTCAGCCTCACAAGTAGCTAGGACTAAAGGTGTATGCCACCATGGCTGGCTAATTTTTAATTTTTTTTTTTATAGATATCGGGGTCTCACTTTGTTGCACAGGCTAGTTTTGAACTTTTGGGCTGAAGCAGTTCTTCCACCTTGGCCTCCCAGAGTGCTTGCTGGGATTACAGGCATGAACCTGTAAACCAAAAATAAAATTCCAAGGCCCCCCACCCATTTAAACAGACTTCCTTCTCAGCCAGGGCTCTTAAGATTTAACCTGAAAGACTGATTCAGGCCACAAAGGGAAGTGGGGGTCAGACATGCCTTATTATACCTCTCTGGCATTAACATCAACACAGATTTTAAGTCTAATAAGAAACATTTTACAGCCTGTTCTCTCTGAAACCTGTTAGCCAAAGCTTCATCTGCATGATAAAACTTTGGTCTCTACAACCTCTTGCATCCCAAACATTCCTTTCTATTGATCCCAGGTCTTTAGACAAACTCAACCAATTGTCAACCAGAAAATGTTTAGATTTACCTGTAGGCTGGAAGCCCATGCTTTGAGTTATCCCACCTTTCTGGACTTTCTGGTTCTACAAATCACTGCACCTGGCCTCATTTTCTTATTTAATTTGACCTTTTGACTTGAACTGAAAAAAATGAAATTTTATCCCATCTTAGAGTATTATATACTGAGTTCACTTCTCAGTCTCCTTTCAGTGACTTGGCTGCACAGTCTCAAGATGTCTGTTCACATAAAATACAATATAATCCCGTATCCTAAAATGGAAGACCATGATTGTGACGCATTTTAAGGCTAGTTGTGTAAGAAGAGCAACATTGTATTTAGTTACTTTAAGATGCTTTGCAAGTATCCTCTGTTCCTTATGCAGAGTTTTTAAAAAATTCTAACCTTTATAGATTAACCAAGAACTTTGAGAAATGTACTGTAAGAATAAAATTTCAGTTGAGGGGATGTAAATTTTTTACATTTGTCTTTGTTGATATTAAGCAGGTTAAACAAATTGTAGAGGAGATCTCCTAATGGATCAATGAAGTATAAATTAGAATTTATAAGTTGTGTTCTGTTTTTCAGCTCGCTTTGCCCTGTCATTTTTGGTCATGAAGTAAGTATTTTACTTCATCTTTACTCAAAAAGTATATAAGGTTAGCAAAAATAACATATAAAAACTTTACAGAAAGTAGCAAATTTCTATTGGCCAGTTATTTATATCTTAATATGCTTTGTAAATTAATGATATGGGAGGCAAGCAAACTATAGCTTTTTTTTTTTTAATTTTTTTAATTTTTTGAGACAGGGTTTTGCTCTGTCACCCAGGCTAGAGTGTGATGGCACAGTCATGGCTCACTGCAACCTCCAGCTTTGGGGCTCAGGTCATCCTCCTGACCTCAGCCTCCTGAGTAGCTGGAACTACAGGCATGCACCACCATGTGCAGCTAATTTTTTTGTATTTTTTGTAGAGATGGGGTTTTGCCATGTTGCCCACGCTGGTCTGTAAGTCCTGGCCTCAAGTGATCCACCCAATTTAGCCTCCAAAGTGCTGGGATTATAGGTGTCAGCCGTATAGCTCCTTTTAAGAAAAAACTTTTACCAACTAGAGTAAATATGAATGGGCTTTTATTTTATTTATTTATTTTTTTGAGATGGAGTCTTGCTCTGTCGCCCAGGCTAGAGTACAGTGGTGCGATCTCAGCTCACTGCAACCTCCACCTCCCAAGTTCAAACAGTTCTCCCACCTCAGCCTGCCGAGTAGCTGGGACTACAGGCATGCGCCACCAGACCCAGCTACTTTTGGTAAGAAATGGGCTTTTAAAGTGACTAGACACTGCCAGTATTAAAGCAAAAACAAATATTTCTCGTTTTTGTGGAATGGATTTATGCCTTGCAAGGTAGCTCTTAGTAATTTCTAAGATAGCTCTGATTTTATATGTTTTCAAGTTTTTACTTTTTAATCATTTACGTGATAGAAGTTTGTTTTTAGACTTCCTTTTCTTAGAAAAAAATTATCATGCTTTTAAAACAATCCCCAAACAAATTAATATTATAGAAGGAGGAATACCCCCTTTACTAGTCACCTTTATGTTTTCCTTACTTCTGTTTTTTGTTCTTTTTTCGCACTTGAGCTTGTTAAAGCAGGTTTGGCATTAGCACTCTTTGGAGGAAGCCAGAAATACGCAGATGACAAAAACAGAATTCCAATTCGGGGAGACCCCCACATCCTTGTTGTTGGAGATCCAGGCCTAGGAAAAAGTCAAATGCTACAGGTAGACAATCAGTCATTTAGTGTTTGTTCTTTTGCTTGTAAAATGCGTTAATAATTCACAAGTGAATTTTCTCAAAGCATGTAGTGTGTGTGTTCCAGAGGACATGGTTAGGTGGCGTAAATGAATTGGAATTTGTGTGAGTAATATGTAACTTATATCTGACCATATTTTTAAATTGAGCCAGTCTCCTGTTACAGAGGCTGTACAAACATCTTGGTCTGTTGAGACATCAACTATTAGGAAATATTAACCATTTCTCTAACCATTGTTTTGCTAGTCTTTGTTGTTGTTAGTTGTTATGTGACCTCACCTATGAACAGAATAGTTCAGGGGAGTTAAAGCAGGGTCACCTATTCTCCCTCATACAAGTACATAAACACTGTATTGGGCTTTAAGAACAGTCTGCTAAAGGTGTGGGATCTGTCTGTATATATCTCCACTGCTTGTGAGTCCAAATCAAGGCAACCTTTTTTTTTGAGACGGAGTCACACTCTGTTGCCCAGGCTGGAGTGCAGTGGCATGATCTGGGCTCACTGCAACCTCTGCCTCCCACTTTTAAGCAATCCCTGTGCCTCAGCCTCCTGAGTAGCTGGGATTATAGGTGCGCACCACCACGCCCAGCTAATTTTTGTATTTTTAGTAGAGACAGGGTTTTGCTGTGTTGGCCAGGCTGGTCTTGAACTCTTGGCCTCAAGTGATCCACCCACCTTAACCTCCCAAAGTGCTGGGATTACCGGTGTGAGCCACCACGCTCTGTCCAAAGCAAGGCAACTGCTGTGATCAGTCATTTGTAGATCCCCAAGAAAATTCTGCCTCTGCCAGTCAGAGCCTAGTGGTTTTCCTTTCCTGGGTTTTATGATGGCTTTAGAAGGTGCTGCTTATTGGTATGCTTGTAGTTTCCTTAAAGTGACAACCGGTAAGCCAGCCGTAATGTGCTTTCTACTTTATTTTTTTGAGACAAGGTCTTCCTCTTTTGCCCAGACTGAAGTACAGTGGCGCAACTTTGGCTTACTGCAGCTTCCACCTTGGGCTCAGGCAATTCTTCCAACTCAGCCTCTCAAGTAGCTGGGACTATAGACATGTGCCACCATGCCTGGCTAATGCTTTTTTTGTAGAGATGGGGTTTTGCCATGTTGCCCAGGCTGGTCTCGAACTCCTGGGCTCAAGCAGATCCACCTGCCTTAGCCTTCCAAAGTGCTGGGATTAAAGGTGTGAACCACTGTGCTTGGCCACTGTGCTTTCTAAAAATGCCTGTGGCCCCCTTCTTCACTCGATGTGGAAAATTGACCAGGGCTTCTCTGGCCCTTTAGTAAGTTGTAGTAGTATGGCTCCTAAATCTTTTTCCAAGGATTGGGATCCTGGCTGCACATCTTAATTACTTTTGGAGCTCTTTGAAAATACCATAGCCCACTGCAAGCCAATTGAGTTAAGAGTTTCTAAGTTAGGGTCCTAGTGTCTATATGTGTACAACAGTCCACAGATGATTCTAATATGCAGCCAGCCTTGAGAACTGCTTTGATCTTGTCATTACATTATAAACCCACTGTCCTTCATATCTGAGTCATCCTTTATTGCCTGTGGTTGAGTGTTAAACCAGTCATTTTAATTCCTAGATATTATTATAATTCCATAGATATTTCATCTATGTTTGGTTCCTTTTGGCCATCTGGGGCTACTTTTTAAAAAATAAATTCTGTTCTGAGACCTCGCTACAATGTAGCCTGACAACAGAGGCTCAGGGTACCCCTTACAGGTGAAACAAAGCTCATCATGAACAGGAATCTGGGTGCAGTGGCTTACGCCTGTAATCCTAACACTTTGGGAGGCCAAGTCGGAAGGATTACTTGAGGCCTGGAGTTCAAGACCAGCCTGTGCAACAAAGTGAGACCCTATCTCTACAAAAAAGAAAACAATTAGCTGGGCATGGTGGCGCACACCTGTAGTCCCTGCTACTCCGGAGGCTGCAGCAGGATGATTGCTTGAGCCTAGAAGTTGGAGAATGCAGGGAGCCATCGTTATGCAACTGTACCCCAGCCTGGGCAATAGAGCAAGACCCTGTCTTTAAAAAAAAAAAAAAAGAAAACATTATGTTTAGAATATGTAGGAAAAGATGCAAGTGGGGATCTGAATTGTTACAGCTTTCTTTTCTGTCTTTTGTGTGGTATACCTGTTCGTGTGTGTAACTTTGGAATTAGTGAATTATAGGTGGGAGCCTGTTTTAACCCCTAG